>NC_000016.10:36503526-36669387 GCF_000001405.40 Homo sapiens | reverse complement strand
TTAGCCGGGATGGTCTCGATCTCCTGACCTCGTGATCCGCCCGCCTCGGCCTCCCAAAGTGCTGGGATTACAGGCGTGAGCCACCGGAGACACTCTTTTGATGGAATTAGTAAGTGGAGAATTCAGCCGCTTTGAGGTCAACGGTAGAAAAGGAAATATCTTTGTATAAAAACTAGACAGATCTGTCTAGTTTTTATACGAAGATATTTCCTTTTCTACCGTTGACCTCAAAGCGGCTGAATTCTCCACTTACAAATTCCACCAAAAGAGTGTCTCAAAACTGCTCTGTGTAAAGAATCATTCAACTCTGTGAGTTGAATGCACACAACACAAGGAAGTTACTGGGAATTCCTGTGTGTATCCTTACATGAAAAAACCCGTTTCCAACGAAGGCCTCTAAGAGGCCAAGATATCCACTTGCAGACTTTACAAACAGAGTGTTTCCAAACTGCTGAATGAAAAGAAAAGTTAAACTCTGTGAGTTGAACGCACACATCACAGAGCAGTTTCTGAGAATGATTCTGTCGGGTTTTTCTACGAAGATATTTCCTTTTCTGCCTTTGGCCTCAAAGCGCTTGAAGTCTCCACTTGCAAATTGCAGAAAAAGAGTGTTTCGAATCTGCTCTGTCTAAAGGAAGGTTCAACTCTGTCAGTTGAATACACACAACACAAGGAAGTTACTGAGATTTCTTCTGTCTAGCCTTACATGAAAAAAACCCGTTTCCAACGAAGGCCTCAAAGAGGTCAAAATATCCACGTGCAGACTTTCCAAACAGAGTGTTTCCAAACTGCTGAATGAAAAGAAAAGTTAAACTCTGTGAGTTGAACGCACACATCCCAGAGCAGTTTCTGAGAAAGATTCTGTCGAGTTTTTATAGGAAAATATTTCCTTTTCTGCTTTTGGCCTCAAAGCGCTTGAAATCTCCACTTGCAAATTCCACAAAAAGAGACTTTCAAATCTGCTCTGTCTAAAGGAAGGTTCAACTCTGTCAGTTGAATACACACAACAAAAAGAAGTTACTAAGAATTCTTCCCTCTAGCATTATATGAAGAAATCCCGTTTCCAACGAAGGCATCTAAGAGGTCCAAATATCCACTTGCAGACTTTACAAACACAGGGTTTCCAGAATGCTGTATGAAAAGAAAGGTTAAACTCTGTGAGTTAAACACACACATCACTACGCAGTGTCTGGGAACGAGTTTGTCTTGTTTTTATACGAAGATATTTCCTTTTCTACCATTGGCATCGAAGCGCTTGAAATCTCCACTTGCAAATTCCACAAAAAGAGTGTTTCAAATCTGCTCTGTCTAAAGGAAGGTTGAACTCTGTGAGTTGCATACACACAACACAAAGAAGTTACTGAGAAATCTTCTGTCTAGCATAATATGAAGAAATCCCGTTTCCAACGAAGGCCTCAAAGAGGTCCGAATATCCACTGGCAGGCTTCACAAACAGAGTGTTTCCTAACTGCTCTGTGAAAAGAAAGGTTAAACTCTGTGAGTTGAACGCACACATCACAAAGGAGTTTCTGAGAATCATTCTGTCTAGTTTTTATACGAAGATATTTCCTTTTCTACCATTGACGTCAAAGCGGCTGAAATCTCCACTTGCAAATTCCAGAAAAACAGTGTTTCAAATCTGCTCTGTGTAAAGGATCGTTTAACTCTGTGAGTTGAATACACACAACACAAGGAAGTTACTGAGAATTCATCTGTCTAGCATAATATGAAGAAATCCCGTTTCCAACGAAGGCCTCAAAGAGGTCTGAATGTCCACTTGCAGACTTTACAAACAGAGTGTTTCCTAACTGCTCTTTGAAAAGAAAGGTTAAACTCTGTGAGTTGAATGCACACATCACAAAACAGTTTCTGAGAATCATTCTGTCTAGTTTTATACGAAGATATTTCCTTTTCTACCGTTGACCTCAAAGCGGCTGAATTCTCCACTTACAAATTCCACCAAAAGAGTGTCTCAAATCTGCTCTGTGTAAAGAATCATTCAACTCTGTGAGTTGAATGCACACAACACAAGGAAGTTACTGGGAATTCCTGTGTGTATCCTTACATGAAAAAACCCGTTTCCAACGAAGGCCTCTAAGAGGCCAAGATATCCACTTGCAGACTTTACAAACAGAGTGTTTCCAAACTGCTGAATGAAAAGAAAAGTTAAACTCTGTGAGTTGAACGCACACATCACAGAGCAGTTTCTGAGAATGATTCTGTCGGGTTTTTATACGAAGATATTTCCTTTTCTGCCTTTGGCCTCAAAGCGCTTGAAGTCTCCACTTGCAAATTGCAGAAAAAGAGTGTTTCGAATCTGCTCTGTCTAAAGGAAGGTTCAACTCTGTCAGTTGAATACACACAACACAAGGAAGTTACTGAGATTTCTTCTGTCTAGCCTTACATGAAAAAAACCCGTTTCCAACGAAGGCCTCAAAGAGGTCAAAATATCCACGTGCAGACTTTCCAAACAGTGTTTCCAAACTGCTGAATGAAAAGAAAAGTTAAACTCTGTGAGTTGAACGCACACATCACAGAGCAGTTTCTGAGAATGATTCTGTCGAGTTTTTATAGGAAAATATTTCCTTTTCTGCTTTTGGCCTCAAAGCGCTTGAAATCTCCACTTGCAAATTCCACAAAAAGAGACTTTCAAATCTGCTCTGTCTAAAGGAAGGTTCAACTCTGTCAGTTGAATACACACAACACAAAGAAGTTACTAAGAATTCTTCCCTCTAGCATTATATGAAGAAATCCCGTTTCCAACGAAGGCATCTAAGAGGTCCAAATATCCACTTGCAGACTTTACAAACACAGGGTTTCCAGAATGCTGTATGAAAAGAAAGGTGAAACTCTGTGAGTTAAACACACACATCACTACGCAGTGTCTGGGAACGAGTTTTGTCTTGTTTTTATACGAAGATATTTCCTTTTCTACCATTGGCATCGATGCGCTTGAAATTTCCACTTGCAAATTCCACAAAAAGAGTGTTTCAAATCTGCTCTGTCTAAAGGAAGGTTGAACTCTGTGAGTTGCATACACACAACACAAAGAAGTTACTGAGAAATCTTCTGTCTTGCAAAATATGAAGAAATCCCGTTTCCAACGAAGGCCTCAAAGAGGTCCGAATATCCACTGGCAGGCTTCACAAACAGAGTGTTTCCTAACTGCTCTGTGAAAAGAAAGGTTAAACTCTGTGAGTTGAACGCACACATCACAAAGGAGTTTCTGAGAATCATTCTGTCCAGTTTTTATACGAAGATATTTCCTTTTCTACCATTGACCTCAAAGCGGCTGAAATCTCCACTTGCAAATTCCAGAAAAACAGTGTTTCAAATCTGCTCTGTGTAAAGGATCGTTCAACTCTGTGAGTTGAATACACACAACACAAGGAAGTTACTGAGAATTCATCTGTCTAGCATAATATGATGAAATCCCGTTTCCAACGAAGGCTTCAAAGAGGTCTGAATATCCACTTGCAGACTTTACAAACAGAGTGTTTCCTAACTGCTCTTTGAAAAGAAAGGTTAAACTCTGTGAGTTGAACGCACACATCACAAAACAGTTTCTGAGAATCATTCTGTCTAGTTTTTATACGAAGATATTTCCTTTTCTACCGTTGACCTCAAAGCAGCTGAATTCTACACTTACAAATTCCACCAAAAGAGTGTCTCAAATCTGCTCTGTGTAAAGAATCATTCAACTCTGTGAGTTGAATGCACACAACACAAGGAAGTTACTGGGAATTCCTCTGTCTAACCTTACATGAAAAAACCCGTTTCCAACGAAGGCCTCTAAGAGGCCAAGATATCCACTTGCAGACTTTACAAACAGAGTGTTTCCAAACTGCTGAATGAAAAGAAAAGTTAAACTCTGTGAGTTGAACGCACACATCACAGAGCAGTTTCTGAGAATGATTCTGTCGGGTTTTTATACGAAGATATTTCCTTTTCTGCCTTTGGCCTCAAAGCGCTTGAAGTCTCCACTTGCAAATTGCAGAAAAAGAGTGTTTCGAATCTGCTCTGTCTAAAGGAAGGTTCAACTCTGTCAGTTGAATACACACAACACAAGGAAGTTACTGAGATTTCTTCTGTCTAGCCTTACATGAAAAAAACCCGTTTCCAACGAAGGCCTCAAAGAGGTCAAAATATCCACGTGCAGACTTTCCAAACAGAGTGTTTCCAAACTGCTGAATGAAAAGAAAAGTTAAACTCTGTGAGTTGAACGCACACATCCCAGAGCAGTTTCTGAGAAAGATTCTGTCTAGTTTTTATAGGAAAATATTTCCTTTTCTGCTTTTGGCCTCAAAGCGCTTGAAATCTCCACTTGCAAATTCCACAAAAAGAGACTTTCAAATCTGCTCTGTCTAAAGGAAGGTTCAACTCTGTCAGTTGAATACACACAACACAAAGAAGTTACTAAGAATTCTTCCCTCTAGCATTATATGAAGAAATCCCGTTTCCAAAGAAGGCATCTAAGAGGTCCAAATATCCACTTGCAGACTTTACAAACAGAGGGTTTCCAGAATGCTGTATGAAAAGAAAGGTTAAACTCTGTGAGTTAAACACACACATCACTACGCAGTGTCTGGGAACGAGTTTGTCTTGTTTTTATACGAAGATATTTCCTTTTCTACCATTGGCATCGAAGCGCTTGAAATCTCCACTTGCAAATTCCACAAAAAGAGTGTTTCAAATCTGCTCTGTCTAAAGGAAGGTTGAACTCTGTGAGTGGCATACACACAACCCAAAGAAGTTACTGATAAATCTTCTGTCTAGCATAATATGAAGAAATCCCGTTTCCAACGAAGGCCTCAAAGAGGTCCGAATATCCACTGGCAGGCTTCACAGAGTGTTTCCTAACTGCTCTGTGAAAAGAAAGGTTAAACTCTGTGAGTTGAACGCACACATCACAAAGGAGTTTCTGAGAATCATTCTGTCCAGTTTTTATACGAAGATATTTCCTTTTCTACCATTGACCTCAAAGCGGCTGAAATCTCCACTTGCAAATTCCAGAAAAACAGTGTTTCAAATCTGCTCTGTATAAAGGATCGTTCAACTCTGTGAGTTGAATACACACAACACAAGGAAGTTACTGAGAATTCATCTGTCTAGCATAATATGAAGAAATCCCGTTTCCAACGAAGGCCTCAAAGAGGTCTGAATATCCACTTGCAGACTTTACAAACAGAGTGTTTCCTAACTGCTCTTTGAAAAGAAAGGTTAAACTCTGTGAGTTGAAAGCACACATCACAAAACAGTTTCTGAGAATCATTCTGTCTAGTTTTTATACGAAGATATTTCCTTTTCTACCGTTGACCTCAAAGCGGCTGAATTCTCCACTTACAAATTCCACCAAAAGAGTGTCTCAAATCTGCTCTGTGTAAAGAATCATTCAACTCTGTGAGTTGAATGCACACAACACAAGGAAGTTACTGGGAATTCCTCTGTCTAACCTTACATGAAAAAACCCGTTTCCAACGAAGGCCTCTAAGAGGCCAAGATATCCACTTGCAGACTTTACAAACAGAGTGTTTCCAAACTGCTGAATGAAAAGAAAAGTTAAACTCTGTGAGTTGAACGCACACATCACAGAGCAGTTTCTGAGAATGATTCTGTCGGGTTTTTATACGAAGATATTTCCTTTTCTGCCTTTGGCCTCAAAGCGCTTGAAGTCTCCACTTGCAAATTGCAGAAAAAGACTGTTTCGAATCTGCTCTGTCTAAAGGAAGGTTCAACCCTGTCAGTTGAATACACACAACACAAGGAAGTTACTGAGATTTCCTCTGTCTAGCGTTACATGAAAAAAACCCGTTTCCAACGAAGGCCTCAAAGAGGTCAAAATATCCACGTGCAGACTTCCCAAACAGAGTGTTTCCAAACTGCTGAATGAAAAGAAAAGTTAAACTCTGTGAGTTGAACGCACACATCCCAGAGCAGTTTCTGAGAAAGATTCTGTCGAGTTTTTATAGGAAAATATTTCCTTTTCTGCTTTTGGCCTCAAAGCGCTTGAAATCTCCACTTGCAAATTCCACAAAAAGAGACTTTCAAATCTGCTCTGTCTAAAGGAAGGTTCAACTCTGTCAGTTGAATACACACAACACAAAGAAGTTATTAAGAATTCTTCCCTCTAGCATTATATGAAGAAATCCCGTTTCCAACGAAGGCATCTAAGAGGTCCAAATATCCACTTGCAGACTTTACAAACACAGGGTTTCCAGAATGCTGTATGAAAAGAAAGGTGAAACTCTGTGAGTTAAACACACACATCACTACGCAGTGTCTGGGAACGAGTTTGTCTTGTTTTTATACGAAGATATTTCCTTTTCTACCATTGGCATCGAAGCGCTTGAAATCTCCACTTGCAAATTCCACAAAAAGAGTGTTTCAAATCTGCTCTGTCTAAAGGAAGGTTGAACTCTGTGAGTTGCATACACACAACACAAAGAAGTTACTGAGAAATCTTCTGTCTAGCATAATATGAAGAAATCCCGTTTCCAACGAAGGCCTCAAAGAGGTCCGAATATCCACTGGCAGGCTCCACAAACAGAGTGTTTCCTAACTGCTCTGTGAAAAGAAAGGTTAAACTCTGTGAGTTGAACGCACACATCACAAAGGAGTTTCTGAGAATCATTCTGTCTAGTTTTTATACGAAGATATTTCCTTTTCTACCATTGACCTCAAAGCGGCTGAAATCTCCACTTGCAAATTCCAGAAAAACAGTGTTTCAAATCTGCTCTGTGTAAAGGATCGTTCAACTCTGTGAGTTGAATACACACAACACAAGGAAGTTACTGAGAATTCATCTGTCTAGCATAATATGAAGAAATCCCGTTTCCAACGAAGGCCTCAAAGAGGTCTGAATATCCACTTGCAGACTTTACAAACAGAGTGTTTCCTAACTGCTCTCTGAAAAGAAAGGTTAAACTCTGTGAGTTGAACGCACACATCACAAAACAGTTTCTGAGAATCATTCTGTCTAGTTTTTATACGAAGATATTTCCTTTTCTACCGTTGACCTCAAAGCGGCTGAATTCTCCACTTACAAATTCCACCAAAAGAGTGTCTCAAATCTGCTCTGTGTAAAGAATCATTCAACTCTGTGAGTTGAATGCACACAACACAAGGGAAGTTACTGGGAATTCCTCTCTCTAACCTTACATGAAAAAACCCGTTTCCAACGAAGGCCTCTAAGAGGCCAAGATATCCACTTGCAGACTTTACAAACAGAGTGTTTCCAAACTGCTGAATGAAAAGAAAAGTTAAACTCTGTGAGTTGAACGCACACATCACAGAGCAGTTTCTGAGAATGATTCTGTCGGGTTTTTATACGAAGATATTTCCTTTTCTGCCTTTGGCCTCAAAGCGCTTGAAGTCTCCACTTGCAAATTGCAGAAAAAGAGTGTTTCGAATCTGCTCTGTCTAAAGGAAGGTTCAACTCTGTCAGTTGAATACACACAACACAAGGAAGTTACTGAGATTTCTTCTGTCTAGCCTTACATGAAAAAAACCCGTTTCCAACGAAGGCCTCAAAGAGGTCAAAATATCCACGTGCAGACTTTCCAAACAGAGTGTTTCCAAACTGCTGAATGAAAAGAAAAGTTAAACTCTGTGAGTTGAACGCACACATCCCAGAGCAGTTTCTGAGAAAGATTCTGTCGAGTTTTTATAGGAAAATATTTCCTTTTCTGCTTTTGGCCTCAAAGCGCTTGAAATCTCCACTTGCAAATTCCACAAAAAGAGACTTTCAAATCTGCTCTGTCTAAAGGAAGGTTCAACTCTGTCAGTTGAATACACACAACACAAAGAAGTTACTAAGAATTCTTCCCTCTAGCATTATATGAAGAAATCCCGTTTCCAACGAAGGCATCTAAGAGGTCCAAATATCCACTTGCAGACTTTACAAACAGAGGGTTTCCAGAATGCTGTATGAAAAGAAAGGTTAAACTCTGTGAGTTAAACACACACATCACTACGCAGTGTCTGGGAACGAGTTTGTCTTGTTTTTATACGAAGATATTTCCTTTTCTACCATTGGCATCGAAGCGCTTGAAATCTCCACTTGCAAATTCCACAAAAAGAGTGTTTCAAATCTGCTCTGTCTAAAGGAAGGTTGAACTCTGTGAGTTGCATATACACAACGCAAAGAAGTTACTGAGAAATCTTTTGTCTAGCATAATATGAAGAAATCCCGTTTCCAACGAAGGCCTCAAAGAGGTCCGAATATCCACTGGCAGGCTTCACAAACAGAGTGTTTCCTAACTGCTCTGTGAAAAGAAAGGTTAAACTCTGTGAGTTGAACGCACACATCACAAAGGAGTTTCTGAGAATCATTCTGTCTAGTTTTTATACGAAGATATTTCCTTTTCTACCATTGACCTCAAAGCGGCTGAAATCTCCACTTGCAAATTCCAGAAAAACAGTGTTTCAAATCTGCTCTGTGTAAAGGATCGTTCAACTCTGTGAGTTGAATACACACAACACAAGGAAGTTACTGAGAATTCATCTGTCTAGCATAATATGAAGAAATCCCGTTTCCAACGAAGGCCTCAAAGAGGTCTGAATATCCACTTGCAGACTTTACAAACAGAGTGTTTCCTAACTGCTCTTTGAAAAGAAAGGTTAAACTCTGTGAGTTGAACGCACACATCACAAAACAGTTTCTGAGAATCATTCTGTCTAGTTTTTATACGAAGATATTTCCTTTTCTACCGTTGACCTCAAAGCGGCTGAATTCTCCACTTACAAATTCCACCAAAAGAGTGTCTCAAATCTGCTCTGTGTAAAGAATCATTCAACTCTGTGAGTTGAATGCACACAACACAAGGAAGTTACTGGGAATTCCTGTGTCTATCCTTACATGAAAAAACCCGTTTCCAACGAAGGCCTCTAAGAGGCCAAGATATCCACTTGCAGACTTTACAAACAGAGTGTTTCCAAACTGCTGAATGAAAAGAAAAGTTAAACTCTGTGAGTTGAACGCACACATCACAGAGCAGTTTCTGAGAATGATTCTGTCGGGTTTTTATACGAAGATATTTCCTTTTCTGCCTTTGGCCTCAAAGCGCTTGAAGTCTCCACTTGCAAATTGCAGAAAAAGAGTGTTTCGAATCTGCTCTGTCTAAAGGAAGGTTCAACTCTGTCAGTTGAATACACACAACACAAGGAAGTTACTGAGATTTCTTCTGTCTAGCCTTACATGAAAAAAACCCGTTTCCAACGAAGGCCTCAAAGAGGTCAAAATATCCACGTGCAGACTTTCCAAACAGTGTTTCCAAACTGCTGAATGAAAAGAAAAGTTAAACTCTGTGAGTTGAACGCACACATCACAGAGCAGTTTCTGAGAATGATTCTGTCGAGTTTTTATAGGAAAATATTTCCTTTTCTGCTTTTGGCCTCAAAGCGCTTGAAATCTCCACTTGCAAATTCCACAAAAAGAGACTTTCAAATCTGCTCTGTCTAAAGGAAGGTTCAACTCTGTCAGTTGAATACACACAACACAAAGAAGTTACTAAGAATTCTTCCCTCTAGCATTATATGAAGAAATCCCGTTTCCAACGAAGGCATCTAAGAGGTCCAAATATCCACTTGCAGACTTTACAAACAGAGGGTTTCCAGAATGCTGTATGAAAAGAAAGGTGAAACTCTGTGAGTTAAACACACACATCACTACGCAGTGTCTGGGAACGAGTTTGTCTTGTTTTTCTACGAAGATATTTCCTTTTCTACCATTGGCATCGAAGCGCTTGAAATCTCCACTTGCAAATTCCACAAAAAGAGTGTTTCAAATCTGCTCTGTCTAAAGGAAGGTTGAACTCTGTGAGTTGCATACACACAACACAAAGAAGTTACTGAGAAATCTTCTGTCTAGCATAATATGAAGAAATCCCGTTTCCAACGAAGGCCTCAAAGAGGTCCGAATATCCACTGGCAGGCTTCACAAACAGAGTGTTTCCTAACTGCTCTGTGAAAAGAAAGGTTAAACTCTGTGAGTTAAACACACACATCACTACGCAGTGTCTGGGAACGAGTTTGTCTTGTTTTTATACGAAGATATTTCCTTTTCTACCATTGGCATCGAAGCGCTTGAAATCTCCACTTGCAAATTCCACAAAAAGAGTGTTTCAAATCTGCTCTGTCTAAAGGAAGGTTGAACTCTGTGAGTTGCATACACACAACACAAAGAAGTTACTGAGAAATCTTCTGTCTAGCATAATATGAAGAAATCCCGTTTCCAACGAAGGCCTCAAAGAGGTCCGATTATCCACTGGCAGGCTTCACAAACAGAGTGTTTCCTAACTGCTCTGTGAAAAGAAAGGTTAAACTCTGTGAGTTGAACGCACACATCACAAAGGAGTTTCTGAGAATCATTCTGTCCAGTTTTTATACGAAGATATTTCCTTTTCTACCATTGACCTCAAAGCGGCTGAAATCTCCACTTGCAAATTCCAGAAAAACAGTGTTTCAAATCTGCTCTGTGTAAAGGATCGTTCAACTCTGTGAGTTGAATACACACAACACAAGGAAGTTACTGAGAATTCATCTGTCTAGCATAATATGAAGAAATCCCGTTTCCAACGAAGGCCTCAAAGAGGTCTGAATATCCACTTGCAGACTTTACAAACAGAGTGTTTCCTAACTGCTCTTTGAAAAGAAAGGTTAAACTCTGTGAGTTGAACGCACACATCACAAAACAGTTTCTGAGAATCATTCTGTCTAGTTTTTATACGAAGATATTTCCTTTTCTACCGTTGACCTCAAAGCGGCTGAATTCTCCACTTACAAATTCCACCAAAAGAGTGTCTCAAATCTGCTCTGTGTAAAGAATCATTCAACTCTGTGAGTTGAGTGCACACAACACAAGGAAGTTACTGGGAATTCCTCTGTCTAACCTTACATGAAAAAACCCGTTTCCAACGAAGGCCTCTAAGAGGCCAAGATATCCACTTGCAGACTTTACAAACAGAGTGTTTCCAAACTGCTGAATGAAAAGAAAAGTTAAACTCTGTGAGTTGAACGCACACATCACAGAGCAGTTTCTGAGAATGATTCTGTCGGGTTTTTATACGAAGATATTTCCTTTTCTGCCTTTGGCCTCAAAGCGCTTGAAGTCTCCACTTGCAAATTGCAGAAAAAGAGTGTTTCGAATCTGCTCTGTCTAAAGGAAGGTTCAACTCTGTCAGTTGAATACACACAACACAAGGAAGTTACTGAGATTTCTTCTGTCTAGCCTTACAAGAAAAAAACCCGTTTCCAACGAAGGCCTCAAAGAGGTCAAAATATCCACGTGCAGACTTTCCAAACAGAGTGTTTCCAAACTGCTGAATGGAAAGAAAAGTTAAACTCTGTGAGTTGAACGCACACATCCCAGAGCAGTTTCTGAGAAAGATTCTGTCTAGTTTTTATAGGAAAATATTTCCTTTTCTGCTTTTGGCCTCAAAGCGCTTGAAATCTCCACTTGCAAATTCCACAAAAAGAGACTTTCAAATCTGCTCTGTCTAAAGGAAGGTTCAACTCTGTCAGTTGAATACACACAACACAAAGAAGTTACTAAGAATTCTTCCCTCTAGCATTATATGAAGAAATCCCGTTTCCAACGAAGGCATCTAAGAGGTCCAAATATCCACTTGCAGACTTTACAAACAGAGGGTTTCCAGAATGCTGTATGAAAAGAAAGGTGAAACTCTGTGAGTTAAACACACACATCACTACGCAGTGTCTGGGAACGAGTTTGTCTTGTTTTTATACGAAGATATTTCCTTTTCTACCATTGGCATCGAAGCGCTTGAAATCTCCACTTGCAAATTCCACAAAAAGAGTGTTTCAAATCTGCTCTGTCTAAAGGAAGGTTGAACTCTGTGAGTTGCATACACACAACACAAAGAAGTTACTGAGAAATCTTCTGTCTAGCATAATATGAAGAAATCCCGTTTCCAACGAAGGCCTCAAAGAGGTCCGAATATCCACTGGCAGGCTTCACAAACAGAGTGTTTCCTAACTGCTCTGTGAAAAGAAAGGTTAAACCCTGTGAGTTGAACGCACACATCACAAAGGAGTTTCTGAGAATCATTCTGTCTAGTTTTTATACGAAGATATTTCCTTTTCTACCATTGACCTCAAAGCGGCTGAAATCTCCACTTGCAAATTCCAGAAAAACAGTGTTTCAAATCTGCTCTGTGTAAAGGATCGTTCAACTCTGTGAGTTGAATACACACAACACAAGGAAGTTACTGAGAATTCATCTGTCTAGCATAATATGAAGAAATCCCGTTTCCAACGAAGGCCTCAAAGAGGTCTGAATATCCACTTGCAGACTTTACAGAGTGTTTCCTAACTGCTCTTTGAAAAGAAAGGTTAAACTCTGTGAGTTGAACGCACACATCACAAAACAGTTTCTGAGAATCATTCTGTCTAGTTTTTATACGAAGATATTTCCTTTTCTACCGTTGACCTCAAAGCGGCTGAATTCTCCACTTACAAATTCCACCAAAAGAGTGTCTCAAAACTGCTCTGTGTAAAGAATCATTCAACTCTGTGAGTTGAATGCACACAACACAAGGAAGTTACTGGGAATTCCTTCTGTCTAACCTTACATGAAAAAACCCGTTTCCAACGAAGGCCTCTAAGAGGCCAAGATATCCACTTGCAGACTTAACAGAGTGTTTCCAAACTGCTGAATGAAAAGAAAAGTTAAACTCTGTGAGTTGAACGCACACATCACAGAGCAGTTTCTGAGAATGATTCTGTCTAGTTTTTATAGGAAAATATTTCCTTTTCTGCTTTTGGCCTCAAAGCGCTTGAAATCTCCACTTGCAAATTCCACAAAAAGAGACTTTCAAATCTGCTCTGTCTAAAGGAAGGTTCAACTCTGTCAGTTGAATACACACAACACAAAGAAGTTACTAAGAATTCTTCCCTCTAGCATTATATGAGGAAATCCCGTTTCCAACGAAGGCATCTAAGAGGTCCAAATATCCACTTGCAGACTTTACAAACAGAGGGTTTCCAGAATGCTGTATGAAAAGAAAGGTGAAACTCTGTGAGTTAAACACACACATCACTACGCAGTGTCTGGGAACGAGTTTGTCTTGTTTTTATACGAAGATATTTCCTTTTCTACCATTGGCATCGAAGCGCTTGAAATTTCCACTTGCAAATTCCACAAAAAGAGTGTTTCAAATCTGCTCTGTCTAAAGGAAGGTTGAACTCTGTGAGTTGCATACACACAACACAAAGAAGTTACTGAGAAATCTTCTGTCTAGCAAAATATGAAGAAATCCCGTTTCCAACGAAGGCCTCAAAGGGGTCCGAATATCCACTGGCAGGCTTCACAAACAGAGTGTTTCCTAACTGCTCTGTGAAAAGAAAGGTTAAACTCTGTGAGTTGAACGCACACATCACAAAGGAGTTTCTGAGAATCATTCTGTCCAGTTTTTATACGAAGATATTTCCTTTTCTACCATTGACCTCAAAGCGGCTGAAATCTCCACTTGCAAATTCCAGAAAAACAGTGTTTCAAATCTGCTCTGTGTAAAGGATCGTTCAACTCTGTGAGTTGAATACACACAACACAAGGAAGTTACTGAGAATTCATCTGTCTAGCATAATATGAAGAAATCCCGTTTCCAACGAAGGCTTCAAAGAGGTCTGAATATCCACTTGCAGACTTTACAAACAGAGTGTTTCCTAACTGCTCTTTGAAAAGAAAGGTTAAACTCTGTGAGTTGAACGCACACATCACAAAACAGTTTCTGAGAATCATTCTTTCTAGTTTTTATACGAAGATATTTCCTTTTCTACCGTTGACCTCAAAGCGGCTGAATTCTCCACTTACAAATTCCACCAAAAGAGTGTCTCAAATCTGCTCTGTGTAAAGAATCATTCAACTCTGTGAGTTGAATGCATACAACACAAGGAAGTTACTGGGAATTCCTCTGTCTAACCTTACATGAAAAAACCCGTTTCCAACGAAGGCCTCTAAGAGGCCAAGATATCCACTTGCAGACTTTACAAACAGAGTGTTTCCAAACTGCTGAATGAAAAGAAAAGTTAAACTCTGTGAGTTGAACGCACACATCACAGAGCAGTTTCTGAGAATGATTCTGTCGGGTTTTTATACGAAGATATTTCCTTTTCTGCCTTTGGCCTCAAAGCGCTTGAAGTCTCCACTTGCAAATTGCAGAAAAAGAGTGTTTCGAATCTGCTCTGTCTAAAGGAAGGTTCAACTCTGTCAGTTGAATACACACAACACAAGGAAGTTACTGAGATTTCTTCTGTCTAGCCTTACATGAAAAAAACCCGTTTCCAACGAAGGCCTCAAAGAGGTCAAAATATCCACGTGCAGACTTTCCAAACAGAGTGTTTCCAAACTGCTGAATGAAAAGAAAAGTTAAACTCTGTGAGTTGAACGCACACATCCCAGAGCAGTTTCTGAGAAAGATTCTGTCGAGTTTTTATAGGAAAATATTTCCTTTTCTGCTTTTGGCCTCAAAGCGCTTGAAATCTCCACTTGCAAATTCCACAAAAAGAGACTTTCAAATCTGCTCTGTCTAAAGGAAGGTTCAACTCTGTCAGTTGAATACACACAACACAAAGAAGTTACTAAGAATTCTTCCCTCTAGCATTATATGAAGAAATCCCGTTTCCAACGAAGGCATCTAAGAGGTCCAAATATCCACTTGCAGACTTTACAAACACAGGGTTTCCAGAATGCTGTATGAAAAGAAAGGTTAAACTCTGTGAGTTAAACACACACATCACTACGCAGTGTCTGGGAACGAGTTTGTCTTGTTTTTCTACGAAGATATTTCCTTTTCTACCATTGGCATCGAAGCGCTTGAAATCTCCACTTGCAAATTCCACAAAAAGAGTGTTTCAAATCTGCTCTGTCTAAAGGAAGGTTGAACTCTGTGAGTTGCATACACACAACACAAAGAAGTTACTGAGAAATCTTCTGAATAGCATAATATGAAGAAATCCCGTTTCCAACGAAGGCCTCAAAGAGGTCCGAATATCCACTGGCAGGCTTCACAAACAGAGTGTTTCCTAACTGCTCTGTGAAAAGAAAGGTTAAACTCTGTGAGTTGAACGCACACATCACAAAGGAGTTTCTGAGAATCATTCTGTCTAGTTTTTATACGAAGATATTTCCTTTTCTACCATTGACCTCAAAGCGGCTGAAATCTCCACTTGCAAATTCCAGAAAAACAGTGTTTCAAATCTGCTCTGTGTAAAGGATCGTTCAACTCTGTGAGTTGAATACACACAACACAAGGAAGTTACTGAGAATTCATCTGTCTAGCATAATATGAAGAAATCCCGTTTCCAACGAAGGCCTCAAAGAGGTCTGAATATCCTCTTGCAGACTTTACAAACAGAGTGTTTCCTAACTGCTCTTTGAAAAGAAAGGTTAAACTCTGTGAGTTGAACGCACACATCACAAAACAGTTTCTGAGAATCATTTCTGTCTAGTTTTTATACGAAGATATTTCCTTTTCTACCGTTGACCTCAAAGCGGCTGAATTCTCCACTTACAAATTCCACCAAAAGAGTGTCTCAAATCTGCTCTGTGTAAAGAATCATTCAACTCTGTGAGTTGAATGCACACAACACAAGGAAGTTACTGGGAATTCCTCTGTCTAACCTTACATGAAAAAACCCGTTTCCAACGAAGGCCTCTAAGAGGCCAAGATATCCACTTGCAGACTTTACAAACAGAGTGTTTCCAAACTGCTGAATGAAAAGAAAAGTTAAACTCTGTGAGTTGAACGCACACATCACAGAGCAGTTTCTGAGAATGATTCTGTCGGGTTTTTATACGAAGATATTTCCTTTTCTGCCTTTGGCCTCAAAGCGCTTGAAGTCTCCACTTGCAAATTGCAGAAAAAGAGTGTTTCGAATCTGCTCTGTCTAAAGGAAGGTTCAACTCTGTCAGTTGAATACACACAACACAAGGAAGTTACTGAGATTTCTTCTGTCTAGCCTTACATGAAAAAAACCCGTTTCCAACGAAGGCCTCAAAGAGGTCAAAATATCCACGTGCAGACTTTCCAAACAGAGTGTTTCCAAACTGCTGAATGAAAAGAAAGTTAAACTCTGTGAGTTGAACACACACATCACAGAGCAGTTTCTGAGAATGATTCTGTCTAGTTTTTATAGGAAAATATTTCCTTTTCTGCTTTTGGCCTCAAAGCACTTGAAATCTCCACTTGCAAATTCCACAAAAAGAGACTTTCAAATCTGCTCTGTCTAAAGGAAGGTTCAACTCTGTCAGTTGAATACACACAACACAAAGAAGTTACTAAGAATTCTTCCCTCTAGCATTATATGAAGAAATCCCGTTTCCAACGAAGGCATCTAAGAGGTCCAAATATCCACTTGCAGACTTTACAAACAGAGGGTTTCCAGAATGCTGTATGAAAAGAAAGGTTAAACTCTGTGAGTTAAACACACACATCACTACGCAGTGTCTGGGAACGAGTTTGTCTTGTTTTTATACGAAGATATTTCCTTTTCTACCATTGGCATCGAAGCGCTTGAAATCTCCACTTGCAAATTCCACAAAAAGAGTGTTTCAAATCTGCTCTGTCTAAAGGAAGGTTGAACTCTGTGAGTTGCATACACACAACACAAAGAAGTTACTGAGAAATCTTCTGTCTAGCATAATATGAAGAAATCCCGTTTCCAACGAAGGCCTGAAAGAGGTCCGAATATCCACTGGCAGGCTTCACAAACAGAGTGTTTCCTAACTGCTCTGTGAAAAGAAAGGTTAAACCCTGTGAGTTGAACGCACACATCACAAAGGAGTTTCTGAGAATCATTCTGTCTAGTTTTTATACGAAGATATTTCCTTTTCTACCATTGACCTCAAAGCGGCTGAAATCTCCACTTGCAAATTCCAGAAAAACAGTGTTTCAAATCTGCTCTGTGTAAAGGATCGTTCAACTCTGTGAGTTGAATACACACAACACAAGGAAGTTACTGAGAATTCATCTGTCTAGCATAATATGAAGAAATCCCGTTTCCAACGAAGGCCTCAAAGAGGTCTGAATATCCACTTGCAGACTTTACAAACAGAGTGTTTCCTAACTGCTCTTTGAAAAGAAAGGTTAAACTCTGTGAGTTGAACGCACACATCACAAAACAGTTTCTGAGAATCATTCTGTCTAGTTTTTATACGAAGATATTTCCTTTTCTACCGTTGACCTCAAAGCGGCTGAATTCTCCACTTACAAATTCCACCAAAAGAGTGTCTCAAATCTGCTCTGTGTAAAGAATCATTCAACTCTGTGAGTTGAATGCACACAACACAAGGAAGTTACTGGGAATTCCTCTGTCTAACCTTACATGAAAAAACCCGTTTCCAACGAAGGCCTCTAAGAGGCCAAGATATCCACTTGCAGACTTTACAAACAGAGTGTTTCCAAACTGCTGAATGAAAAGAAAAGTTAAACTCTGTGAGTTGAACGCACACATCACAGAGCAGTTTCTGAGAATGATTCTGTCGGGTTTTTATACGAAGATATTTCCTTTTCTGCCTTTGGCCTCAAAGCGCTTGAAGTCTCCACTTGCAAATTGCAGAAAAAGAGTGTTTCGAATCTGCTCTGTCTAAAGGAAGGTTCAACTCTGTCAGTTGAATACACACAACACAAGGAAGTTACTGAGATTTCTTCTGTCTAGCCTTACATGAAAAAAACCCGTTTCCAACGAAGGCCTCAAAGAGGTCAAAATATCCACGTGCAGACTTTCCAAACAGAGTGTTTCCAAACTGCTGAATGAAAAGAAAAGTTAAACTCTGTGAGTTGAACGCACACATCACAGAGCAGTTTCTGAGAAAGATTCTGTCTAGTTTTTATAAGAAAATATTTCCTTTTCTGCTTTTGGCCTCAAAGCGCTTGAAATCTCCACTTGCAAATTCCACCAAAAGAGACTTTCAAATCTGCTCTGTCTAAAGGAAGGTTCAACTCTGTCAGTTGAATACACACAACACAAAGAAGTTACTAAGAATTCTTCCCTCTAGCATTATATGAAGAAATCCCGTTTCCAACGAAGGCATCTAAGAGGTCCAAATATCCACTTGCAGACTTTACAAACAGAGGGTTTCCAGAATGCTGTATGAAAAGAAAGGTTAAACTCTGTGAGTTAAACACACACATCACTACGCAGTGTCTGGGAACGAGTTTGTCTTGTTTTTATACGAAGATATTTCCTTTTCTACCATTGGCATCGAAGCGCTTGAAATCTCCACTTGCAAATTCCACAAAAAGAGTGTTTCAAATCTTCTCTGTCTAAAGGAAGGTTGAACTCTGTGAGTTGCATACACACAACACAAAGAAGTTACTGAGAAATCTTCTGTCTAGCATAATATGAAGAAATCCCGTTTCCAACGAAGGCCTCAAAGAGGTCCGAATATCCACTGGCAGGCTTCACAAACAGAGTGTTTCCTAACTGCTCTGTGAAAAGAAAGGTTAAACTCTGTGAGTTGAACGCACACATCACAAAGGAGTTTCTGAGAATCATTCTGTCTAGTTTTTATACGAAGATATTTCCTTTTCTACCATTGACCTCAAAGCGGCTGAAATCTCCACTTGCAAATTCCAGAAAAACAGTGTTTCAAATCTGCTCTGTGTAAAGGATCGTTCAACTCTGTGAGTTGAATACACACAACACAAGGAAGTTACTGAGAATTCATCTGTCTAGCATAATATGAAGAAATCCCGTTTCCAACGAAGGCCTCAAAGAGGTCTGAATATCCACTTGCAGACTTTACAAACAGAGTGTTTCCTAACTGCTCTTTGAAAAGAAAGGTTAAACTCTGTGAGTTGAAAGCACACATCACAAAACAGTTTCTGAGAATCATTCTTTCTAGTTTTTATACGAAGATATTTCCTTTTCTACCGTTGACCTCAAAGCGGCTGAATTCTCCACTTACAAATTCCACCAAAAGAGTGTCTCAAATCTGCTCTGTGTAAAGAATCATTCAACTCTGTGAGTTGAATGCATACAACACAAGGAAGTTACTGGGAATTCCTCTGTCTAACCTTACATGAAAAAACCCGTTTCCAACGAAGGCCTCTAAGAGGCCAAGATATCCACTTGCAGACTTTACAAACAGAGTGTTTCCAAACTGCTGAATGAAAAGAAAAGTTAAACTCTGTGAGTTGAACGCACACATCACAGAGCAGTTTCTGAGAATGATTCTGTCGGGTTTTTATACGAAGATATTTCCTTTTCTGCCTTTGGCCTCAAAGCGCTTGAAGTCTCCACTTGCAAATTGCAGAAAAAGAGTGTTTCGAATCTGCTCTGTCTAAAGGAAGGTTCAACTCTGTCAGTTGAATACACACAACACAAGGAAGTTACTGAGATTTCTTCTGTCTAGCCTTACATGAAAAAAACCCGTTTCCAACGAAGGCCTCAAAGAGGTCAAAATATCCACGTGCAGACTTTCCAAACAGAGTGTTTCCAAACTGCTGAATGAAAAGAAAAGTTAAACTCTGTGAGTTGAACGCACACATCCCAGAGCAGTTTCTGAGAAAGATTCTGTCTAGTTTTTATAGGAAAACATTTCCTTTTCTGCTTTTGGCCTCAAAGCGCTTGAAATCTCCACTTGCAAATTCCACAAAAAGAGACTTTCAAATCTGCTCTGTCTAAAGGAAGGTTCAACTCTGTCAGTTGAATACACACAACACAAAGAAGTTACTAAGGAATTCTTCCCTCTAGCATTATATGAAGAAATCCCGTTTCCAACGAAGGCATCTAAGAGGTCCAAATATCCACTTGCAGACTTTACAAACAGAGGGTTTCCAGAATGCTGTATGAAAAGAAAGGTTAAAGTCTGTGAGTTAAACACACACATCACTACGTAGTTTCTGGGAATGATTTTGTCTTGTTTTTATACGAAGATATTTCCTTTTCTACCATTGGCATCGAAGCGCTTGAAATCTCCACTTGCAAATTCCACAAAAAGAGTGTTTCAAATCTGCGCTGTCTAAAGGAAGGTTGAACTCTGTGAGTTGTATACACACAACACAAAGAAGTTACTGAGAAATCTTCTGTCTAGCATAATATGAAGAAATCCCGTTTCCAACGAAGGCCTCAAAGAGGTCCGAATATCCACTGGCAGGCTTCACAAACAGAGTGTTTCCTAACTGCTCTGTGAAAAGAAAGGTTAAACTCTGTGAGTTGAACGCACACATCACAAAGGAGTTTCTGAGAATCATTCTGTCTAGTTTTTATACGAAGATATTTCCTTTTCTACCATTGACCTCAAAGCGGCTGAAATCTCCACTTGCAAATTCCAGAAAAACAGTGTTTCAAATCTGCTCTGTGTAAAGGATCGTTCAACTCTGTGAGTTGAATACACACAACACAAGGAAGTTACTGAGAATTCATCTGTCTAGCATAATATGAAGAAATCCCGTTTCCAACGAAGGCCTCAAAGAGGTCTGAATATCCACTTGCAGACTTTACAAACAGAGTGTTTCCTAACTGCTCTTTGAAAAGAAAGGTTAAACTCTGTGAGTTGAAAGCACACATCACAAAACAGTTTCTGAGAATCATTCTGTCTAGTTTTTATACGAAGATATTTCCTTTTCTACCGTTGACCTCAAAGCGGCTGAATTCTCCACTTACAAATTCCACCAAAAGAGTGTCTCAAATCTGCTCTGTGTAAAGAATCATTCAACTCTGTGAGTTGAATGCACACAACACAAGGAAGTTACTGGGAATTCCTCTGTCTAACCTTACATGAAAAAACCCGTTTCCAACGAAGGCCTCTAAGAGGCCAAGATATCCACTTGCAGACTTTACAAACAGAGTGTTTCCAAACTGCTGAATGAAAAGAAAAGTTAAACTCTGTGAGTTGAACGCACACATCACAGAGCAGTTTCTGAGAATGATTCTGTCGGGTTTTTATACGAAGATATTTCCTTTTCTGCCTTTGGCCTCAAAGCGCTTGAAGTCTCCACTTGCAAATTGCAGAAAAAGAGTGTTTCGAATCTGCTCTGTCTAAAGGAAGGTTCAACTCTGTCAGTTGAATACACACAACACAAGGAAGTTACTGAGATTTCTTCTGTCTAGCGTTACATGAAAAAAACCCGTTTCCAACGAAGGCCTCAAAGAGGTCAAAATATCCACGTGCAGACTTTCCAAACAGAGTGTTTCCAAACTGCTGAATGAAAAGAAAAGTTAAACTCTGTGAGTTGAACGCACACATCCCAGAGCAGTTTCTGAGAAAGATTCTGTCTAGTTTTTATAGGAAAATATTTCCTTTTCTGCTTTTGGCCTCAAAGCGCTTGAAATCTCCACTTGCAAATTCCACAAAAAGAGACTTTCAAATCTGCTCTGTCTAAAGGAAGGTTCAACTCTGTCAGTTGAATACACACAACACAAAGAAGTTACTAAGAATTCTTCCCTCTAGCATTATATGAAGAAATCCCGTTTCTAACGAAGGCATCTAAGAGGTCCAAATATCCACTTGCAGACTTTACAAACAGAGGGTTTCCAGAATGCTGTATGAAAAGAAAGGTTAAACTCTGTGAGTTAAACACACACATCACTACGCAGTGTCTGGGAACGAGTTTGTCTTGTTTTTATACGAAGATATTTCCTTTTCTACCATTGGCATCGAAGCGCTTGAAATCTCCACTTGCAAATTCCACAAAAAGAGTGTTTCAAATCTGCTCTGTCTAAAGGAAGGTTGAACTCTGTGAGTTGCATACACACAACACAAAGAAGTTACTGAGAAATCTTCTGTCTAGCATAATATGAAGAAATCCCGTTTCCAACGAAGGCCTCAAAGAGGTCCGAATATCCACTGGCAGGCTTCACAAACAGAGTGTTTCCTAACTGCTCTGTGAAAAGAAAGGTTAAACTCTGTGAGTTGAACGCACACATCACAAAGGAGTTTCTGAGAATCATTCTGTCTAGTTTTTATACGAAGATATTTCCTTTTCTACCATTGACCTCAAAGCGGCTGAAATCTCCACTTGCAAATTCCAGAAAAACAGTGTTTCAAATCTGCTCTGTGTAAAGGATCGTTCAACTCTGTGAGTTGAATACACACAACACAAGGAAGTTACTGAGAATTCATCTGTCTAGCATAATATGAAGAAATCCCGTTTCCAACGAAGGCCTCAAAGAGGTCTGAATATCCACATGCAGACTTTACAAACAGAGTGTTTCCTAACTGCTCTCTGAAAAGAAAGGTTAAACTCTGTGAGTTGAACGCACACATCACAAAACAGTTTCTGAGAATCATTCTGTCTAGTTTTTATACGAAGATATTTCCTTTTCTACCGTTGACCTCAAAGCGGCTGAATTCTCCACTTACAAATTCCACCAAAAGAGTGTCTCAAATCTGCTCTGTGTAAAGAATCATTCAACTCTGTGAGTTGAATGCACACAACACAAGGAAGTTACTGGGAATTCCTCTGTCTATCCTTACATGAAAAAACCCGTTTCCAACGAAGGCCTCTAAGAGGCCAAGATATCCACTTGCAGACTTTACAAACAGAGTGTTTCCAAACTGCTGAATGAAAAGAAAAGTTAAACTCTGTGAGTTGAACGCAGACATCACAGAGCAGTTTCTGAGAATGATTCTGTCGGGTTTTTATACGAAGATATTTCCTTTTCTGCCTTTGGCCTCAAAGCGCTTGAAGTCTCCACTTGCAAATTGCAGAAAAAGAGTGTTTCGAATCTGCTCTGTCTAAAGGAAGGTTCAACTCTGTCAGTTGAATACACACAACACAAGGAAGTTACTGAGATTTCTTCTGTCTAGCCTTACATGAAAAAAACCCGTTTCCAACGAAGGCCTCAAAGAGGTCAAAATATCCACGTGCAGACTTTCCAAACAGAGTGTTTCCAAACTGCTGAATGAAAAGAAAAGTTAAACTCTGTGAGTTGAACGCACACATCCCAGAGCAGTTTCTGAGAAAGATTCTGTCTAGTTTTTATAGGAAAATATTTCCTTTTCTGCTTTTGGCCTCAAAGCGCTTGAAATCTCCACTTGCAAATTCCACAAAAAGAGACTTTCAAATCTGCTCTGTCTAAAGGAAGGTTCAACTCTGTCAGTTGAATACACACAACACAAAGAAGTTACTAAGAATTCTTCCCTCTAGCATTATATGAAGAAATCCCGTTTCCAACGAAGGCATCTAAGAGGTCCAAATATCCACTTGCAGACTTTACAAACACAGGGTTTCCAGAATGCTGTATGAAAAGAAAGGTGAAACTCTGTGAGTTAAACACACACATCACTACGCAGTGTCTGGGAACGAGTTTGTCTTGTTTTTATACGAAGATATTTCCTTTTCTACCATTGGCATCGAAGCGCTTGAAATCTCCACTTGCAAATTCCACAAAAAGAGTGTTTCAAATCTGCTCTGTCTAAAGGAAGGTTGAACTCTGTGAGTTGCATACACACAACACAAAGAAGTTACTGAGAAATCTTCTGTCTAGCATAATATGAAGAAATCCCGTTTCCAACGAAGGCCTCAAAGAGGTCTGAATATCCACTTGCAGACTTTACAAACAGAGTGTTTCCTAACTGCTCTTTGAAAAGAAAGGTTAAACTCTGTGAGTTGAAAGCACACATCACAAAACAGTTTCTGAGAATCATTCTGTCTAGTTTTTATACGAAGATATTTCCTTTTCTACCGTTGACCTCAAAGCGGCTGAATTCTCCACTTACAAATTCCACCAAAAGAGTGTCTCAAATCTGCTCTGTGTAAAGAATCATTCAACTCTGTGAGTTGAATGCACACAACACAAGGAAGTTACTGGGAATTCCTCTGTCTAACCTTACATGAAAAAACGCGTTTCCAACGAAGGCCTCTAAGAGGCCAAGATATCCACTTGCAGACTTTACAAACAGAGTGTTTCCAAACTGCTGAATGAAAAGAAAAGTTAAACTCTGTGAGTTGAACGCACACATCACAGAGCAGTTTCTGAGAATGATTCTGTCGGGTTTTTATACGAAGATATTTCCTTTTCTGCCTTTGGCCGCAAAGCGCTTGAAGTCTCCACTTGCAAATTGCAGAAAAAGAGCGTTTCGAATCTGCTCTGTCTAAAGGAAGGTTCAACTCTGTCAGTTGAATACACACAACACAAGGAAGTTACTGAGATTTCTTCTGTCTAGCCTTACATGAAAAAAACCCGTTTCCAACGAAGGCCTCAAAGAGGTCAAAATATCCACGTGCAGACTTTCCAAACAGAGTGTTTCCAAACTGCTGAATGAAAAGAAAGTTAAACTCTGTGAGTTGAACACACACATCACAGAGCAGTTTCTGAGAATGATTCTGTCTAGTTTTTATAGGAAAATATTTCCTTTTCTGCTTTTGGCCTCAAAGCGCTTGAAATCTCCACTTGCAAATTCCACAAAAAGAGACTTTCAAATCTGCTCTGTCTAAAGGAAGGTTCAACTCTGTCAGTTGAATACACACAACACAAAGAAGTGACTAAGAATTCTTCCCTCTAGCATTATATGAAGAAATCCCGTTTCCAACGAAGGCATCTAAGAGGTCCAAATATCCACTTGCAGACTTTACAAACAGAGGGTTTCCAGAATGCTGTATGAAAAGAAAGGTTAAACTCTGTGAGTTAAACACACACATCACTACGCAGTGTCTGGGAACGAGTTTGTCTTGTTTTTATACGAAGATATTTCCTTTTCTACCATTGGCATCGAAGCGCTTGAAATCTCCACTTGCAAATTCCACAAAAAGAGTGTTTCAAATCTGCTCTGTCTAAAGGAAGGTTGAACTCTGTGAGTTGCATACACACAACACAAAGAAGTTACTGAGAAATCTTCTGTCTAGCATAATATGAAGAAATCCCGTTTCCAACGAAGGCCTCAAAGAGGTCCGAATATCCAATGGCAGGCTTCACAAACAGAGTGTTTCCTAACTGCTCTGTGAAAAGAAAGGTTAAACTCTGTGAGTTGAACGCACACATCACAAAGGAGTTTCTGAGAATCATTCTGACTAGTTTTTATACGAAGATATTTCCTTTTCTACCATTGACCTCAAAGCGGCTGAAATCTCCACTTACAAATTCCAGAAAAACAGTGTTTCAAATCTGCTCTGTGTAAAGGATCGTTCAACTCTGTGAGTTGAATACACACAACACAAGGAAGTTACTGAGAATTCATCTGTCTAGCATAATATGAAGAAAACCCGTTTCCAACGAAGGCCTCAAAGAGGTCTGAATATCCACTTGCAGACTTTACAAACAGAGTGTTTCCTAACTGCTCTCTGAAAAGAAAGGTTAAACTGTGTGAGTTGAACGCACACATCACAAAACAGTTTCTGAGAATCATTCTGTCTAGTTTTTATACGAAGATATTTCCTTTTCTACCGTTGACCTCAAAGCGGCTGAATTCTCCACTTACAAATTCCACCAAAAGAGTGTCTCAAATCTGCTCTGTGTAAAGAATCATTCAACTCTGTGAGTTGAATGCACACAACACAAGGAAGTTACTGGGAATTCCTCTGTCTAACCTTACATGAAAAAACCCGTTTCCAACGAAGGCCTCTAAGAGGCCAAGATATCCACTTGCAGACTTTACAAACAGAGTGTTTCCAAACTCCTGAATGAAAAGAAAAGTTAAACTCTGTGAGTTGAACGCACACATCACAGAGCAGTTTCTGAGAATGATTCTGTCGGGTTTTTATACGAAGATATTTCCTTTTCTGCCTTTGGCCTCAAAGCGCTTGAAGTCTCCACTTGCAAATTGCAGAAAAAGAGTGTTTCGAATCTGCTCTGTCTAAAGGAAGGTTCAACTCTGTCAGTTGAATACACACAACACAAAGAAGTTACTAAGAATTCTTCCCTCTAGCATTATATGAAGAAATCCCGTTTCCAACGAAGGCATCTAAGAGGTCCAAATATCCACTTGCAGACTTTACAAACAGAGGGTTTCCAGAATGCTGTATGAAAAGAAAGGTTAAACTCTGTGAGTTGAACGCACACATCACAAAGGAGTTTCTGAGAATCATTCTGTCTAGTTTTTATACGAAGATATTTCCTTTTCTACCATTGACCTCAAAGCGGCTGACATCTCCACTTGCAAATTCCAGAAAAACAGTGTTTCAAATCTGCTCTGTGTAAAGGATCGTTCAACTCTGTGAGTTGAATACACACAACACAAGGAAGTTACTGAGAATTCATCTGTCTAGCATAATATGAAGAAATCCCGTTTCCAACGAAGGCCTCAAAGAGGTCTGAATATCCACTTGCAGACTTTACAAACAGAGTGTTTCCTAACTGCTCTTTGAAAAGAAAGGTTAAACTCTGTGAGTTGAACGCACACATCACAAAACAGTTTCTGAGAATCATTCTGTCTAGTTTTTATACGAAGATATTTCCTTTTCTACCGTTGACATCAAAGCGGCTGAATTCTCCACTTACAAATTCCACCAAAAGAGTGTCTCAAATCTGCTCTGTGTAAAGAATCATTCAACTCTGTGAGTTGAATGCACACAACACAAGGAAGTTAGTGGGAATTCCTCTGTCTAACCTTACATGAAAAAACCCGCTTCCAACGAAGGCCTCTAAGAGGCCAAGATATCCACTTGCAGACTTTACAAACAGAGTGTTTCCAAACTGCTGAATGAAAAGAAAAGTTAAACTCTGTGAGTTGAACGCACACATCACAGAGCAGTTTCTGAGAATGATTCTGTCGGGTTTTTATACGAAGATATTTCCTTTTCTGCCTTTGGCCTCAAAGCGCTTGAAGTCTCCACTTGCAAATTGCAGAAAAAGAGTGTTTCGAATCTGCTCTGTCTAAAGGAAGGTTCAACTCTGTCAGTTGAATACACACAACACAAGGAAGTTACTGAGATTTCTTCTGTCTAGCCTTACATGAAAAAAACCCGTTTCCAACGAAGGCCTCAAAGAGGTCAAAATATCCACGTGCAGACTTTCCAAACAGAGTGTTTCCAAACTGCTGAATGAAAAGAAAAGTTAAACTCTGTGAGTTGAACGCACACATCCCAGAGCAGTTTCTGAGAAAGATTCTGTCGAGTTTTTATAGGAAAATATTTCCTTTTCTGCTTTTGGCCTCAAAGCGCTTGAAATCTCCACTTGCAAATTCCACAAAAAGAGACTTTCAAATCTGCTCTGTCTAAAGGAAGGTTCAACTCTGTCAGTTGAATACACACAACACAAAGAAGTTACTAAGAATTCTTCCCTCTAGCATTATATGAAGAAATCCCGTTTCCAACGAAGGCATCTAAGAGGTCCAAATATCCACTTGCAGACTTTACAAACACAGGGTTTCCAGAATGCTGTATGAAAAGAAAGGTGAAACTCTGTGAGTTAAACACACACATCACTACGCAGTGTCTGGGAACGAGTTTGTCTTGTTTTTATACGAAGATATTTCCTTTTCTACCATTGGCATCGAAGCGCTTGAAATCTCCACTTGCAAATTCCACAAAAAGAGTGTTTCAAATCTGCGCTGTCTAAAGGAAGGTTGAACTCTGTGAGTTGTATACACACAACACAAAGAAGTTACTGAGAAATCTTCTGTCTAGCATAATATGAAGAAATCCCGTTTCCAACGAAGGCCTCAAAGAGGTCCGAATATCCACTGGCAGGCTTCACAAACAGAGTGTTTCCTAACTGCTCTGTGAAAAGAAAGGTTAAACTCTGTGAGTTGAACGCACACATCACAAAGGAGTTTCTGAGAATCATTCTGTCTAGTTTTTATACGAAGATATTTCCTTTTCTACCATTGACCTCAAAGCGGCTGAAATCTCCACTTGCAAATTCCAGAAAAACAGTGTTTCAAATCTGCTCTGTGTAAAGGATCGTTCAACTCTGTGAGTTGAATACACACAACACAAGGAAGTTACTGAGAATTCATCTGTCTAGCATAATATGAAGAAATCCCGTTTCCAACGAAGGCCTCAAAGAGGTCTGAATATCCACTTGCAGACTTTACAAACAGAGTGTTTCCTAACTGCTCTTTGAAAAGAAAGGTTAAACTCTGTGAGTTGAACGCACACATCACAAAACAGTTTCTGAGAATCATTCTGTCTAGTTTTTATACGAAGATATTTCCTTTTCTACCGTTGACCTCAAAGCGGCTGAATTCTCCACTTACAAATTCCACCAAAAGAGTGTCTCAAATCTGCTCTGTGTAAAGAATCATTCAACTCTGTGAGTTGAATGCACACAACACAAGGAAGTTACTGGGGAATTCCTGTGTGTATCCTTACATGAAAAAACCCGTTTCCAACGAAGGCCTCTAAGAGGCCAAGATATCCACTTGCAGACTTTACAAACAGAGTGTTTCCAAACTGCTGAATGAAAAGAAAAGTTAAACTCTGTGAGTTGAACGCACACATCACAGAGCAGTTTCTGAGAATGATTCTGTCGGGTTTTTATACGAAGATATTTCCTTTTCTGCCTTTGGCCTCAAAGCGCTTGAAGTCTCCACTTGCAAATTGCAGAAAAAGAGTGTTTCGAATCTGCTCTGTCTAAAGGAAGGTTCAACTCTGTCAGTTGAATACACACAACACAAGGAAGTTACTGAGATTTCTTCTGTCTAGCCTTACATGAAAAAAACCCGTTTCCAACGAAGGCCTCAAAGAGGTCAAAATATCCACGTGCAGACTTTCCAAACAGAGTGTTTCCAAACTGCTGAATGAAAAGAAAAGTTAAACTCTGTGAGTTGAACGCACACATCCCAGAGCAGTTTCTGAGAAAGATTCTGTCGAGTTTTTATAGGAAAATATTTCCTTTTCTGCTTTTGGCCTCAAAGCGCTTGAAATCTCCACTTGCAAATTCCACAAAAAGAGACTTTCAAATCTGCTCTGTCTAAAGGAAGGTTCAACTCTGTCAGTTGAATACACACAACACAAAGAAGTTACTAAGAATTCTTCCCTCTAGCATTATACGAAGAAATCCCGTTTCCAACGAAGGCATCTAAGAGGTCCAAATATCCACTTGCAGACTTTACAAACACAGGGTTTCCAGAATGCTGTATGAAAAGAAAGGTTAAACTCAGTGAGTTAAACACACACATCACTACGCAGTGTCTGGGAACGAGTTTGTCTTGTTTTTATACGAAGATATTTCCTTTTCTACCATTGGCATCGAAGCGCTTGAAATCTCCACTTGCAAATTCCACAAAAAGAGTGTTTCAAATCTGCTCTGTCTAAAGGAAGGTTGAACTCTGTGAGTTGCATACACACAACACAAAGAAGTTACTGAGAAATCTTCTGTCTAGCATAATACGAAGAAATCCCGTTTCCAACGAAGGCCTCAAAGAGGTCCGAATATCCACTGGCAGGCTTCACAAACAGAGTGTTTCCTAACTGCTCTGTGAAAAGAAAGGTTAAACTCTGTGAGTTGAACGCACACATCACAAAGGAGTTTCTGAGAATCATTCTGTCTAGTTTTTATACGAAGATATTTCCTTTTCTACCATTGACCTCAAAGCGGCTGAAATCTCCACTTGCAAATTCCAGAAAAACAGTGTTTCAAATCTGCTCTGTGTAAAGGATCGTTCAACTCTGTGAGTTGAATACACACAACACAAGGAAGTTACTGAGAATTCATCTGTCTAGCATAATATGAAGAAATCCCGTTTCCAACGAAGGCCTCAAAGAGGTCTGAATATCCACTTGCAGACTTTACAAACAGAGTGTTTCCTAACTGCTCTTTGAAAAGAAAGGTTAAACTCTGTGAGTTGAACGCACACATCACAAAACAGTTTCTGAGAATCATTCTGTCTAGTTTTTATACGAAGATATTTCCTTTTCTACCGTTGACCTCAAAGCGGCTGAATTCTCCACTTACAAATTCCACCAAAAGAGTGTCTCAAATCTGCTCTGTGTAAAGAATCATTCAACTCTGTGAGTTGAATGCACACAACACAAGGAAGTTACTGGGAATTCCTCTGTCTAAACTTACATGAAAAAACCCGTTTCCAACGAAGGCCTCTAAGAGGCCAAGATATCCACTTGCAGACCTTACAAACAGAGTGTTTCCAAACTGCTGAATGAAAAGAAAAGTTAAACTCTGTGAGTTGAACGCACACATCACAGAGCAGTTTCTGAGAATGATTCTGTCGGGTTTTTATACGAAGATATTTCCTTTTCTGCCTTTGGCCTCAAAGCGCTTGAAGTCTCCACTTGCAAATTGCAGAAAAAGAGTGTTTCGAATCTGCTCTGTCTAAAGGAAGGTTCAACTCTGTCAGTTGAATACACACAACACAAGGAAGTTACTGAGATTTCTTCTGTCTAGCCTTACATGAAAAAAACCCGTTTCCAACGAAGGCCTCAAAGAGGTCAAAATATCCACGTGCAGACTTTCCAAACAGAGTGTTTCCAAACTGCTGAATGAAAAGAAAAGTTAAACTCTGTGAGTTGAACGCACACATCCCAGAGCAGTTTCTGAGAAAGATTCTGTCTAGTTTTTATAGGAAAATATTTCCTTTTCTGCTTTTGCCCTCAAAGCGCTTGAAATCTCCACTTGCAAATTCCACAAAAAGAGACTTTCAAATCTGCTCTGTCTAAAGGAAGGTTCAACTCTGTCAGTTGAATACACACAACACAAAGAAGTTACTAAGAATTCTTCCCTCTAGCATTATATGAAGAAATCCCGTTTCCAACGAAGGCATCTAAGAGGTCCAAATATCCACTTGCAGACTTTACAAACACAGGGTTTCCAGAATGCTGTATGAAAAGAAAGGTTAAACTCTGTGAGTTAAACACACACATCACTACGCAGTGTCTGGGAACGAGTTTGTCTTGTTTTTATACGAAGATATTTCCTTTTCTACCATTGGCATCGAAGCGCTTGAAATCTCCACTTGCAAATTCCACAAAAAGAGTGTTTCAAATCTGCTCTGTCTAAAGGAAGGTTGAACTCTGTGAGTTGCATACACACAACACAAAGAAGTTACTGAGAAATCTTCTGTCTAGCATAATATGAAGAAATCCCGTTTCCAACGAAGGCCTCAAAGAGGTCCGAATATCCACTGGCAGGCTTCACAAACAGAGTGTTTCCTAACTGCTCTGTGAAAAGAAAGGTTAAACTCTGTGAGTTGAACGCACACATCACAAAGGAGTTTCTGAGAATCACTCTGTCTAGTTTTTATACGAAGATATTTCTTTTTCTACCATTGACCTCAAAGCGGCTGAAATCTCCACTTGCAAATTCCAGAAAAACAGTGTTTCAAATCTGCTCTGTGTAAAGGATCGTTCAACTCTGTGAGTTGAATACACACAACACAAGGAAGTTACTGAGAATTCATCTGTCTAGCATAATATGAAGAAATCCCGTTTCCAACGAAGGCCTCAAAGAGGTCTGAATATCCACTTGCAGACTTTACAAACAGAGTGTTTCCTAACTGCTCTTTCAAAAGAAAGGTTAAACTCTGTGAGTTGAACGCACACATCACAAAACAGTTTCTGAGAATCATTCTGTCTAGTTTTTATACGAAGATATTTCCTTTTCTACCGTTGACCTCAAAGCGGCTGAATTCTCCACTTACAAATTCCACCAAAAGAGTGTCTCAAATCTGCTCTGTGTAAAGAATCATTCAACTCTGTGAGTTGAATGCACACAACACAAGGAAGTTACTGGGAATTCCTCTGTCTAACCTTACATGAAAAAACCCGTTTCCAACGAAGGCCTCTAAGAGGCCAAGATATCCACTTGCAGACTTTACAAACAGAGTGTTTCCAAACTGCTGAATGAAAAGAAAAGTTAAACTCTGTGAGTTGAACGCACACATCACAGAGCAGTTTCTGAGAATGATTCTGTCGGGTTTTTCTACGAAGATATTTCCTTTTCTGCCTTTGGCCTCAAAGCGCTTGAAGTCTCCACTTGCAAATTGCAGAAAAAGAGTGTTTCGAATCTGCTCTGTCTAAAGGAAGGTTCAACTCTGTCAGTTGAATACACACAACACAAGGAAGTTACTGAGATTTCTTCTGTCTAGCCTTACATGAAAAAAACCCGTTTCCAACGAAGGCCTCAAAGAGGTCAAAATATCCACGTGCAGACTTTCCAAACAGTGTTTCCAAACTGCTGAATGAAAAGAAAAGTTAAACTCTGTGAGTTGAACGCACACATCACAGAGCAGTTTCTGAGAATGATTCTGTCTAGTTTTTATAGGAAAATATTTCCTTTTCTGCTTTTGGCCTCAAAGCGCTTGAAATCTCCACTTGCAAATTCCACAAAAAGAGACTTTCAAATCTGCTCTGTCTAAAGGAAGGTTCAACTCTGTCAGTTGAATACACACAACACAAAGAAGTTACTAAGAATTCTTCCCTCTAGCATTATATGAAGAAATCCCGTTTCCAACGAAGGCATCTAAAAGGTCCAAATATCCACTTGCAGACTTTACAAACACAGGGTTTCCAGAATGCTGTATGAAAAGAAAGGTTAAACTCTGTGAGTTAAACACACACATCACTACGCAGTGTCTGGGAACGAGTTTGTCTTGTTTTTCTACGAAGATATTTCCTTTTCTACCATTTGCATCGAAGCGCTTGAAATCTCCACTTGCAAATTCCACAAAAAGAGTGTTTCAAATATGCTCTCTCTAAAGGAAGGTTGAACTCTGTAAGTTGCATACACACAACACAAAGAAGTTACTGAGAAATCTTCTGTCTAGCATAATATGAAGAAATCCCGTTTCCAACGAAGGCCTCAAAGAGGTCCGATTATCCACTGGCAGGCTTCACAAACAGAGTGTTTCCTAACTGCTCTGTGAAAAGAAAGGTTAAACTCTGTGAGTTGAACGCACACATCACAAAGGAGTTTCTGAGAATCATTCTGTCTAGTTTTTATACGAAGATATTTCCTTTTCTACCATTGACCTCAAAGCGGCTGACATCTCCACTTGCAAATTCCAGAAAAACAGTGTTTCAAATCTGCTCTGTGTAAAGGATCGTTCAACTCTGTGAGTTGAATACACACAACACAAGGAAGTTACTGAGAATTCATCTGTCTAGCATAATATGAAGAAATCCCGTTTCCAACGAAGGCCTCAAAGAGGTCTGAATATCCACTTGCAGACTTTACAAACAGAGTGTTTCCTAACTGCTCTTTGAAAAGAAAGGTTAAACTCTGTGAGTTGAACGCACACATCACAAAACAGTTTCTGAGAATCATTCTGTCTAGTTTTTATACGAAGATATTTCCTTTTCTACCGTTGACCTCAAAGCGGCTGAATTCTCCACTTACAAATTCCACCAAAAGAGTGTCTCAAATCTGCTCTGTGTAAAGAATCATTCAACTCCGTGAGTTGAATGCACACAACACAAGGAAGTTAGTGGGAATTCCTCTGTCTAACCTTACATGAAAAAACCCGTTTCCAACGAAGGCCTCTAAGAGGCCAAGATATCCACTTGCAGACTTTACAAACAGAGTGTTTCCAAACTGCTGAATGAAAAGAAAAGTTAAACTCTGTGAGTTGAACGCACACATCACAGAGCAGTTTCTGAGAATGATTCTGTCGGGTTTTTATACGAAGATATTTCCTTTTCTGCCTTTGGCCTCAAAGCGCTTGAAGTCTCCACTTGCAAATTGCAGAAAAAGAGTGTTTCGAATCTGCTCTGTCTAAAGGAAGGTTCAACTCTGTCAGTTGAATACACACAACACAAGGAAGTTACTGAGATTTCTTCTGTCTAGCTTACATGAAAAAAACCCGTTTCCAACGAAGGCCTCAAAGAGGTCAAAATATCCACGTGCAGACTTTCCAAACAGAGTGTTTCCAAACTGCTGAATGAAAAGAAAAGTTAAACTCTGTGAGTTGAACGCACACATCCCAGAGCAGTTTCTGAGAAAGATTCTGTCGAGTTTTTATAGGAAAATATTTCCTTTTCTGCTTTTGGCCTCAAAGCGCTTGAAATCTCCACTTGCAAATTCCACAAAAAGAGACTTTCAAATCTGCTCTGTCTAAAGGAAGGTTCAACTCTGTCAGTTGAATACACACAACACAAAGAAGTTACTAAGAATTCTTCCCTCTAGCATTATATGAAGAAATCCCGTTTCCAACGAAGGCATCTAAGAGGTCCAAATATCCACTTGCAGACTTTACAAACACAGGGTTTCCAGAATGCTGTATGAAAAGAAAGGTTAAACTCTGTGAGTTAAACACACACATCACTACGCAGTGTCTGGGAACGAGTTTGTCTTGTTTTTATACGAAGATATTTCCTTTTCTACCATTGGCATCGAAGCGCTTGAAATCTCCACTTGCAAATTCCACAAAAAGAGTGTTTCAAATCTGCTCTGTCTAAAGGAAGGTTGAACTCTGTGAGTTGCATACACACAACACAAAGAAGTTACTGAGAAATCTTGTGTCTAGCATAATACGAAGAAATCCCGTTTCCAACGAAGGCCTCAAAGAGGTCCGAATATCCACTGGCAGGCTTCACAAACAGAGTGTTTCCTAACTGCTCTGTGAAAAGAAAGGTTAAACTCTGTGAGTTGAACGCACACATCACAAAGGAGTTTCTGAGAATCATTCTGTCTAGTTTTTATACGAAGATATTTCCTTTTCTACCATTGACCTCAAAGCGGCTGAAATCTCCACTTGCAAATTCCAGAAAAACAGTGTTTCAAATCTGCTCTGTGTAAAGGATCGTTCAACTCTGTGAGTTGAATACACACAACACAAGGAAGTTACTGAGAATTCATCTGTCTAGCATAATATGAAGAAATCCCGTTTCCAACGAAGGCCTCAAAGAGGTCTGAATATCCGCTTGCAGACTTTACAAACAGAGTGTTTCCTAACTGCTCTTTGAAAAGAAAGGTTAAACTCTGTGAGTTGAACGCACACATCACAAAACAGTTTCTGAGAATCATTCTGTCTAGTTTTTATACGAAGATATTTCCTTTTCTACCGTTGACCTCAAAGCGGCTGAATTCTCCACTTACAAATTCCACCAAAAGAGTGTCTCAAATCTGCTCTGTGTAAAGAATCATTCAACTCTGTGAGTTGAATGCACACAACACAAGGAAGTTACTGGGAATTCCTCTGTCTAACCTTACATGAAAAAACCCGTTTCCAACGAAGGCCTCTAAGAGGCCAAGATATCCACTTGCAGACTTTACAAACAGAGTGTTTCCAAACTGCTGAATGAAAAGAAAAGTTAAACTCTGTGAGTTGAACGCACACATCACAGAGCAGTTTCTGAGAATGATTCTGTCGGGTTTTTATACGAAGATATTTCCTTTTCTGCCTTTGGCCTCAAAGCGCTTGAAGTCTCCACTTGCAAATTGCAGAAAAAGAGTGTTTCGAATCTGCTCTGTCTAAAAGAAGGTTCAACTCTGTCAGTTGAATACACACAACACAAGGAAGTTACTGAGATTTCTTCTGTCTAGCCTTACATGAAAAAAACCCGTTTCCAACGAAGGCCTCAAAGAGGTCAAAATATCCACGTGCAGACTTTCCAAACAGAGTGTTTCCAAACTGCTGAATGAAAAGAAAAGTTAAACTCTGTGAGTTGAACGCACACATCCCAGAGCAGTTTCTGAGAAAGATTCTGTCTAGTTTTTATAGGAAAACATTTCCTTTTCTGCTTTTGGCCTCAAAGCGCTTGAAATCTCCACTTGCAAATTCCACAAAAAGAGACTTTCAAATCTGCTCTGTCTAAAGGAAGGTTCAACTCTGTCAGTTGAATACACACAACACAAAGAAGTTACTAAGAATTCTTCCCTCTAGCATTATATGAAGAAATCCCGTTTCCAACGAAGGCATCTAAGAGGTCCAAATATCCACTTGCAGACTTTACAAACAGAGGGTTTCCAGAATGCTGTATGAAAAGAAAGGTGAAACTCTGTGAGTTAAACACACACATCACTACGCAGTGTCTGGGAACGAGTTTGTCTTGTTTTTATACGAAGATATTTCCTTTTCTACCATTGGCATCGAAGCGCTTGAAATCTCCACTTGCAAATTCCACAAAAAGAGTGTTTCAAATCTGCTCTGTCTAAAGGAAGGTTGAACTCTGTGAGTTGCATACACACAACACAAAGAAGTTACTGAGAAATCTTCTGTCTAGCATAATATGAAGAAATCCCGTTTCCAACGAAGGCCTCAAAGAGGTCCGAATATCCACTGGCAGGCTTCACAAACAGAGTGTTTCCTAACTGCTCTGTGAAAAGAAAGGTTAAACCCTGTGAGTTGAACGCACACATCACAAAGGAGTTTCTGAGAATCATTCTGTCTAGTTTTTATACGAAGATATTTCCTTTTCTACCATTGACCTCAAAGCGGCTGAAATCTCCACTTGCAAATTCCAGAAAAACAGTGTTTCAAATCTGCTCTGTGTAAAGGATCGTTCAACTCTGTGAGTTGAATACACACAACACAAGGAAGTTACTGAGAATTCATCTGTCTAGCATAATATGAAGAAATCCCGTTTCCAACGAAGGCCTCAAAGAGGTCTGAATATCCACTTGCAGACTTTACAAACAGAGTGTTTCCTAACTGCTCTTTGAAAAGAAAGGTTAAACTCTGTGAGTTGAACGCACACATCACAAAACAGTTTCTGAGAATCATTCTGTCTAGTTTTTATACGAAGATATTTCCTTTTCTACCGTTGACCTCAAAGCGGCTGAATTCTCCACTTACAAATTCCACCAAAAGAGTGTCTCAAATCTGCTCTGTGTAAAGAATCATTCAACTCTGTGAGTTGAATGCACACAACACAAGGAAGTTACTGGGAATTCCTCTGTCTAACCTTACATGAAAAAACCCGTTTCCAACGAAGGCCTCTAAGAGGCCAAGATATCCACTTGCAGACTTTACAAACAGAGTGTTTCCAAACTGCTGAATGAAAAGAAAAGTTAAACTCTGTGAGTTGAACGCACACATCACAGAGCAGTTTCTGAGAATGATTCTGTCGGGTTTTTATACGAAGATATTTCCTTTTCTGCCTTTGGCCTCAAAGCGCTTGAAGTCTCCACTTGCAAATTGCAGAAAAAGAGTGTTTCGAATCTGCTCTGTCTAAAGGAAGGTTCAACTCTGTCAGTTGAATACACACAACACAAGGAAGTTACTGAGATTTCTTCTGTCTAGCCTTACATGAAAAAAACCCGTTTCCAACGAAGGCCTCAAAGAGGTCAAAATATCCACGTGCAGACTTTCCAAACAGAGTGTTTCCAAACTGCTGAATGAAAAGAAAAGTTAAACTCTGTGAGTTGAACGCACACGTCCCAGAGCAGTTTCTGAGAAAGATTCTGTCTAGTTTTTATAGGAAAATATTTCCTTTTCTGCTTTTGGCCTCAAAGCGCTTGAAATCTCCACTTGCAAATTCCACAAAAAGAGACTTTCAAATCTGCTCTGTCTAAAGGAAGGTTCAACTCTGTCAGTTGAATACACACAACACAAAGAAGTTACTAAGAATTCTTCCCTCTAGCATTATATGAAGAAATCCCGTTTCCAACGAAGGCATCTAAGAGGTCCAAATATCCACTTGCAGACTTTACAAACAGAGGGTTTCCAGAATGCTGTATGAAAAGAAAGGTGAAACTCTGTGAGTTAAACACACACATCACTACGCAGTGTCTGGGAACGAGTTTGTCTTGTTTTTATACGAAGATATTTCCTTTTCTACCATTGGCATCGAAGCGCTTGAAATCTCCACTTGCAAATTCCACAAAAAGAGTGTTTCAAATCTGCTCTGTCTAAAGGAAGGTTGAACTCTGTGAGTTGAATACACACAACACAAGGAAGTTACTGAGAATTCATCTGTCTAGCATAATATGAAGAAATCCCGTTTCCAACGAAGGCCTCAAAGAGGTCTGAATATCCACTTGCAGACTTTACAAACAGAGTGTTTCCTAACTGCTCTTTGAAAAGAAAGGTTAAACTCTGTGAGTTGAACGCACACATCACAAAACAGTTTCTGAGAATCATTCTGTCTAGTTTTTATACGAAGATATTTCCTTTTCTACCGTTGACCTCAAAGCGGCTGAATTCTCCACTTACAAATTCCACCAAAAGAGTGTCTCAAATCTGCTCTGTGTAAAGAATCATTCAACTCTGTGAGTTGAATGCACACAACACAAGGAAGTTACTGGGAATTCCTCTGTCTATCCTTACATGAAAAAACCCGTTTCCAACGAAGGCCTCTAAGAGGCCAAGATATCCACTTGCAGACTTTACAAACAGAGTGTTTCCAAACTGCTGAATGAGAAGAAAAGTTAAACTCTGTGAGTTGAACGCACACATCACAGAGCAGTTTCTGAGAATGATTCTGTCGGGTTTTTATACGAAGATATTTCCTTTTCTGCCTTTGGCCTCAAAGCGCTTGAAGTCTCCACTTGCAAATTGCAGAAAAAGAGTGTTTCGAATCTGCTCTGTCTAAAGGAAGGTTCAACTCTGTCAGTTGAATACACACAACACAAGGAAGTTACTGAGATTTCTTCTGTCTAGCCTTACATGAAAAAAACCCGTTTCCAACGAAGGCCTCAAAGATGTCAAAATATCCACGTGCAGACTTTCCAAACAGAGTGTTTCCAAACTGCTGAATGAAAAGAAAAGTTAAACTCTGTGAGTTGAACGCACACATCCCAGAGCAGTTTCTGAGAAAGATTCTGTCTAGTTTTTATAGGAAAATATTTCCTTTTCTGCTTTTGGCCTCAAAGCGCTTGAAATCTCCACTTGCAAATTCCACAAAAAGAGACTTTCAAATCTGCTCTGTCTAAAGGAAGGTTCAACTCTGTCAGTTGAATACACACAACACAAAGAAGTTACTAAGAATTCTTCCCTCTAGCATTATATGAAGAAATCCCGTTTCCAACGAAGGCATCTAAGAGGTCCAAATATCCACTTGCAGACTTTACAAACAGAGGGTTTCCAGAATGCTGTATGAAAAGAAAGGTTAAACTCTGTGAGTTAAACACACACATCACTACGCAGTGTCTGGGAACGAGTTTGTCTTGTTTTTATACGAAGATATTTCCTTTTCTACCATTGGCATCGAAGCGCTTGAAATCTCCACTTGCAAATTCCACAAAAAGAGTGTTTCAAATCTGCTCTGTCTAAAGGAAGGTTGAACTCTGTGAGTTGCATACACACAACACAAAGAAGTTACTGAGAAATCTTCTGTCTAGCATAATATGAAGAAATCCCGTTTCCAACGAAGGCCTCAAAGAGGTCCGAATATCCACTGGCAGGCTTCACAAACAGAGTGTTTCCTAACTGCTCTGTGAAAAGAAAGGTTAAACTCTGTGAGTTGAACGCACACATCACAAAGGAGTTTCTGAGAATCATTCTGTCTAGTTTTTATACGAAGATATTTCCTTTTCTACCATTGACCTCAAAGCGGCTGAAATCTCCACTTGCAAATTCCAGAAAAACAGTGTTTCAAATCTGCTCTGTGTAAAGGATCGTTCAACTCTGTGAGTTGAATACACACAACACAAGGAAGTTACTGAGAATTCATCTGTCTAGCATAATATGAAGAAATCCCGTTTCCAACGAAGGCCTCAAAGAGGTCTGAATATCCACTTGCAGACTTTACAAACAGAGTGTTTCCTAACTGCTCTTTGAAAAGAAAGGTTAAACTCTGTGAGTTGAAAGCACACATCACAAAACAGTTTCTGAGAATCATTCTGTCTAGTTTTTATACGAAGATATTTCCTTTTCTACCGTTGACATCAAAGCGGCTGAATTCTCCACTTACAAATTCCACCAAAAGAGTGTCTCAAATCTGCTCTGTGTAAAGAATCATTCAACTCTGTGAGTTGAATGCACACAACACAAGGAAGTTAGTGGGAATTCCTCTGTCTAACCTTACATGAAAAAACCCGCTTCCAACGAAGGCCTCTAAGAGGCCAAGATATCCACTTGCAGACTTTACAAACAGAGTGTTTCCAAACTGCTGAATGAAAAGAAAAGTTAAACTCTGTGAGTTGAACGCACACATCACAGAGCAGTTTCTGAGAATGATTCTGTCGGGTTTTTATACGAAGATATTTCCTTTTCTGCCTTTGGCCTCAAAGCGCTTGAAGTCTCCACTTGCAAATTGCAGAAAAAGAGTGTTTCGAATCTGCTCTGTCTAAAGGAAGGTTCAACTCTGTCAGTTGAATACACACAACACAAGGAAGTTACTGAGATTTCTTCTGTCTAGCCTTACATGAAAAAAACCCGTTTCCAACGAAGGCCTCAAAGAGGTCAAAATATCCATGTGCAGACTTTCCAAACAGAGTGTTTCCAAACTGCTGAATGAAAAGAAAAGTATAAACTCTGTGAGTTGAACGCACACATCCCAGAGCAGTTTCTGAGAAAGATTCTGTCTAGTTTTTATAGGAAAATATTTCCTTTTCTGCTTTTGGCCTCAAAGCGCTTGAAATCTCCACTTGCAAATTCCACAAAAAGAGACTTTCAAATCTGCTCTGTCTAAAGGAAGGTTCAACTCTGTCAGTTGAATACACACAACACAAAGAAGTTACTAAGAATTCTTCCCTCTAGCATTATATGAAGAAATCCCGTTTCCAACGAAGGCATCTAAGAGGTCCAAATATCCACTTGCAGACTTTACAAACAGAGGGTTTCCAGAATGCTGTATGAAAAGAAAGGTTAAACTCTGTGAGTTAAACACACACATCACTACGCAGTGTCTGGGAACGAGTTTGTCTTGTTTTTATACGAAGATATTTCCTTTTCTACCATTGGCATCGAAGGGCTTGAAATCTCCACTTGCAAATTCCACAAAAAGAGTGTTTCAAATCTGCTCTGTCTAAAGGAAGGTTGAACTCTGTGAGTTGCATACACACAACCCAAAGAAGTTACTGAGAAATCTTCTGTCTAGCATAATATGAAGAAATCCCGTTTCCAACGAAGGCCTCAAAGAGGTCCGATTATCCACTGGCAGGCTTCACAAACAGAGTGTTTCCTAACTGCTCTGTGAAAAGAAAGGTTAAACTCTGTGAGTTGAACGCACACATCACAAAGGAGTTTCTGAGAATCATTCTGTCTAGTTTTTATACGAAGATATTTCCTTTTCTACCATTGACCTCAAAGCGGCTGAAATCTCCACTTGCAAATTCCAGAAAAACAGTGTTTCAAATCTGCTCTGTGTAAAGGATCGTTCAACTCTGTGAGTTGAATACACACAACACAAGGAAGTTACTGAGAATTCATCTGTCTAGCATAATATGAAGAAATCCCGTTTCCAACGAAGGCCTCAAAGAGGTCTGAATATCCACTTGCAGACTTTACAAACAGAGTGTTTCCTAACTGCTCTTTGAAAAGAAAGGTTAAACTCTGTGAGTTGAACGCACACATCACAAAACAGTTTCTGAGAATCATTCTGTCTAGTTTTTATACGAAGATATTTCCTTTTCTACCGTTGACCTCAAAGCGGCTGAATTCTCCACTTACAAATTCCACCAAAAGAGTGTCTCAAATCTGCTCTGTGTAAAGAATCATTCAACTCTGTGAGTTGAATGCACACAACACAAGGAAGTTACTGGGAATTCCTCTGTCTATCCTTACATGAAAAAACCCAGTTTCCAACGAAGGCCTCTAAGAGGCCAAGATATCCACTTGCAGACTTTACAAACAGAGTGTTTCCAAACTGCTGAATGAAAAGAAAAGTTAAACTCTGTGAGTTGAACGCACACATCACAGAGCAGTTTCTGAGAAAGATTCTGTCGGGTTTTTATACGAAGATATTTCCTTTTCTGCCTTTGGCCTCAAAGCGCTTGAACTTTCCACTTGCAAATTGCAGAAAAAGAGTGTTTCGAATCTGCTCTGTCTAAAGGAAGGTTCAACTCTGTCAGTTGAATACACACAACACAAGGAAGTTACTGAGATTTCTTCTGTCTAGCCTTACATGAAAAAAACCCGTTTCCAACGAAGGCCTCAAAGAGGTCAAAATATCCACGTGCAGACTTTCCAAACAGAGTGTTTCCAAACTGCTGAATGAAAAGAAAAGTTAAACTCTGTGAGTTGAACGCACACATCCCAGAGCAGTTTCTGAGAAAGATTCTGTCGAGTTTTTATAGGAAAATATTTCCTTTTCTGCTTTTGGCCTCAAAGCGCTTGAAATCTCCACTTGCAAATTCCACAGAAAGAGACTTTCAAATCTGCTCTGTCTAAAGGAAGGTTCAACTCTGTCAGTTGAATACACACAACACAAAGAAGTTACTAGGAATTCTTCCCTCTAGCATTATATGAAGAAATCCCGTTTCCAACGAAGGCATCTAAGAGGTCCAAATATCCACTTGCAGACTTTACAAACACAGGGTTTCCAGAATGCTGTATGAAAAGAAAGGTTAATCTCTGTGAGTTAAACACACACATCACTACGCAGTGTCTGGGAACGAGTTTGTCTTGTTTTTATACGAAGATATTTCCTTTTCTACCATTGGCATCGAAGCGCTTGAAATCTCCACTTGCAAATTCCACAAAAAGAGTGTTTCAAATCTGCTCTGTCTAAAGGAAGGTTGAACTCTGTGAGTTGCATACACACAACACAAAGAAGTTACTGAGAAATCTTCTGTCTAGCATAATATGAAGAAATCCCGTTTCCAACGAAGGCCTCAAAGAGGTCCGATTATCCACTGGCAGGCTTCACAAACAGAGTGTTTCCTAACTGCTCTGTGAAAAGAAAGGTTAAACTCTGTGAGTTGAACGCACACATCACAAAGGAGTTTCTGAGAATCATTCTGTCTAGTTTTTATACGAAGATATTTCCTTTTCTACCATTGACCTCAAAGCGGCTGAAATCTCCACTTGCAAATTCCAGAAAAACAGTGTTTCAAATCTGCTCTGTGTAAAGGATCGTTCAACTCTGTGAGTTGAATACACACAACACAAGGGAAGTTACTGAGAATTCATCTGTCTAGCATAATATGAAGAAATCCCGTTTCCAACGAAGGCCTCAAAGAGGTCTGAATATCCACTTGCAGACTTTACAGAGTGTTTCCTAACTGCTCTCTGAAAAGAAAGGTTAAACTCTGTGAGTTGAACGCACACATCACAAAACAGTTTCTGAGAATCATTCTGTCTAGTTTTTATACGAAGATATTTCCTTTTCTACCGTTGACCTCAAAGCGGCTGAATTCTCCACTTACAAATTCCACCAAAAGAGTGTCTCAAATCTGCTCTGTGTAAAGAATCATTCAACTCTGTGAGTTGAATGCACACAACACAAGGAAGTTACTGGGAATTCCTCTGTCTATCCTTACATGAAAAAACCCGTTTCCAACGAAGGCCTCTAAGAGGCCAAGATATCCACTTGCAGACTTTACAAACAGAGTGTTTCCAAACTGCTGAATGAAAAGAAAAGTTAAACTCTGTGAGTTGAACGCACACATCACAGAGCAGTTTCTGAGAAAGATTCTGTCTAGTTTTTATAGGAAAATATTTCCTTTTCTGCTTTTGGCCTCAAAGTGCTTGAAATCTCCACTTGCAAATTCCACAAAAAGAGTGTTTCAAATCTGCTCTGTCTAAAGGAAGGTTGAACTCTGTGAGTTGCATACACACAACACAAAGAAGTTACTGAGAAATCTTCTGTCTAGCATAATATGAAGAAATCCCGTTTCCAACGAAGGCCTCAAAGAGGTCCGAATATCCACTGGCAGGCTTCACAAACAGAGTGTTTCCTAACTGCTCTGTGAAAAGAAAGGTTAAACTCTGTGAGTTGAACGCACACATCACAAAGGAGTTTCTGAGAATCATTCTGTCTAGTTTTTATACGAAGATATTTCCTTTTCTACCATTGACCTCAAAGCGGCTGAAATCTCCACTTGCAAATTCCAGAAAAACAGTGTTTCAAATCTGCTCTGTGTAAAGGATCGTTCAACTCTGTGAGTTGAATACACACAACACAAGGAAGTTACTGAGAATTCATCTGTCTAGCATAATATGAAGAAATCCCGTTTCCAACGAAGGCCTCAAAGAGGTCTGAATATCCACTTGCAGACTTTACAAACAGAGTGTTTCCTAACTGCTCTTTGAAAAGAAAGGTTAAACTCTGTGAGTTGAAAGCACACATCACAAAACAGTTTCTGAGAATCATTCTGTCTAGTTTTTATACGAAGATATTTCCTTTTCTACCGTTGACCTCAAAGCGGCTGAATTCTCCACTTACAAATTCCACCAAAAGAGTGTCTCAAATCTGCTCTGTGTAAAGAATCATTCAACTCTGTGAGTTGAATGCACACAACACAAGGAAGTTACTGGGAATTCCTCTGTCTAACCTTACATGAAAAAACCCGTTTCCAACGAAGGCCTCTAAGAGGCCAAGATATCCACTTGCAGACTTTACAAACAGAGTGTTTCCAAACTGCTGAATGAAAAGAAAAGTTAAACTCTGTGAGTTGAACGCACACATCACAGAGCAGTTTCTGAGAATGATTCTGTCGGGTTTTTATACGAAGATATTTCCTTTTCTGCCTTTGGCCTCAAAGCGCTTGAAGTCTCCACTTGCAAATTGCAGAAAAAGAGTGTTTCGAATCTGCTCTGTCTAAAGGAAGGTTCAACTCTGTCAGTTGAATACACACAACACAAGGAAGTTACTGAGATTTCTTCTGTCTAGCCTTACATGAAAAAAACCCGTTTCCAACGAAGGCCTCAAAGAGGTCAAAATATCCACGTGCAGACTTTCCAAACAGAGTGTTTCCAAACTGCTGAATGAAAAGAAAAGTTAAACTCTGTGAGTTGAACGCACACATCCCAGAGCAGTTTCTGAGAAAGATTCTGTCGAGTTTTTATAGGAAAATATTTCCTTTTCTGCTTTCGGCCTCAAAGCGCTTGAAATCTCCACTTGCAAATTCCACAAAAAGAGACTTTCAAATCTGCTCTGTCTAAAGGAAGGTTCAACTCTGTCAGTTGAATACACACAACACAAAGAAGTTACTAAGAATTCTTCCCTCTAGCATTATATGAAGAAATCCCGTTTCCAACGAAGGCATCTAAGAGGTCCAAATATCCACTTGCAGACTTTACAAACACACGGTTTCCAGAATGCTGTATGAAAAGAAAGGTGAAACTCTGTGAGTTAAACACACACATCACTACGCAGTGTCTGGGAACGAGTTTGTCTTGTTTTTATACGAAGATATTTCCTTTTCTACCATTGGCATCGAAGCGCTTGAAATCTCCACTTGCAAATTCCACAAAAAGAGTGTTTCAAATCTGCTCTGTCTAAAGGAAGGTTGAACTCTGTGAGTTGCATACACACAACACAAAGAAGTTACTGAGAAATCTTCTGTCTAGCATAATATGAAGAAATCCCGTTTCCAACGAAGGCCTCAAAGAGGTCCGAATATCCACTGGCAGGCTTCACAAACAGAGTGTTTCCTAACTGCTCTGTGAAAAGAAAGGTTAAACTCTGTGAGTTGAACGCACACATCACAAAGGAGTTTCTGAGAATCATTCTGTCTAGTTTTTATACGAAGATATTTCTTTTTCTACCATTGACCTCAAAGCGGCTGAAATCTCCACTTGCAAATTCCAGAAAAACAGTGTTTCAAATCTGCTCTGTGTAAAGGATCGTTCAACTCTGTGAGTTGAATACACACAACACAAGGAAGTTACTGAGAATTCATCTGTCTAGCATAATATGAAGAAATCCCGTTTCCAACGAAGGCCTCAAAGAGGTCTGAATATCCACTTGCAGACTTTACAAACAGAGTGTTTCCTAACTGCTCTTTGAAAAGAAAGGTTAAACTCTGTGAGTTGAACGCACACATCACAAAACAGTTTCTGAGAATCATTCTGTCTAGTTTTTATACGAAGATATTTCCTTTTCTACCGTTGACCTCAAAGCGGCTGAATTCTCCACTTACAAATTCCACCAAAAGAGTGTCTCAAATCTGCTCTGTGTAAAGAATCATTCAACTCTGTGAGTTGAATGCACACAACACAAGGAAGTTACTGGGAATTCCTCTGTCTAACCTTACATGAAAAAACCCGTTTCCAACGAAGGCCTCTAAGAGGCCAAGATATCCACTTGCAGACTTTACAAACAGAGTGTTTCCAAACTGCTGAATGAAAAGAAAAGTTAAACTCTGTGAGTTGAACGCACACATCACAGAGCAGTTTCTGAGAATGATTCTGTCGGGTTTTTATACGAAGATATTTCCTTTTCTGCCTTTGGCCTCAAAGCGCTTGAAGTCTCCACTTGCAAATTGCAGAAAAAGAGTGTTTCGAATCTGCTCTGTCTAAAGGAAGGTTCAACTCTGTCAGTTGAATACACACAACACAAGGAAGTTACTGAGATTTCTTCTGTCTAGCCTTACATGAAAAAAACCCGTTTCCAACAAAGGCCTCAAAGCAGGTCAAAATATCCACGTGCAGACTTTCCAAACAGAGTGTTTCCAAACTGCTGAATGAAAAGAAAAGTTAAACTCTGTGAGTTGAACGCACACGTCCCAGAGCAGTTTCTGAGAAAGATTCTGTCGAGTTTGTATAGGAAAATATTTCCTTTTCTGCTTTTGGCCTCAAAGCGCTTGAAATCTCCACTTGCAAATTCCACAAAAAGAGACTTTCAAATCTGCTCTGTCTAAAGGAAGGTTCAACTCTGTCAGTTGAATACACAAAACACAAAGAAGTTACTAAGAATTCTTCCCTCTAGCATTATATGAAGAAATCCCGTTTCCAACGAAGGCATCTAAGAGGTCCAAATATCCACTTGCAGACTTTACAAACAGAGGGTTTCCAGAATGCTGTATGAAAAGAAAGGTGAAACTCTGTGAGTTAAACACACACATCACTACGCAGTGTCTGGGAACGAGTTTGTCTTGTTTTTATACGAAGATATTTCCTTTTCTACCATTGGCATCGAAGCGCTTGAAATCTCCACTTGCAAATTCCACAAAAAGAGTGTTTCAAATCTGCTCTGTCTAAAGGAAGGTTGAACTCTGTGAGTTGCATACACACAACACAAAGAAGTTACTGAGAAATCTTCTGTCTGGCATAATATGAAGAAATCCCGTTTCCAACGAAGGCCTCAAAGAGGTCCGAATATCCACTGGCAGGCTTCACAAACAGAGTGTTTCCTAACTGCTCTGTGAAAAGAAAGGTTAAACTCTGTGAGTTGAACGCACACATCACAAAGGAGTTTCTGAGAATCATTCTGTCTAGTTTTTATACGAAGATATTTCCTTTTCTACCATTGACCTCAAAGCGGCTGAAATCTCCACTTGCAAATTCCAGAAAAACAGTGTTTCAAATCTGCTCTGTGTAAAGGATCGTTCAACTCTGTGAGTTGAATACACACAACACAAGGAAGTTACTGAGAATTCATCTGTCTAGCATAATATGAAGAAATCCCGTTTCCAACGAAGGCCTCAAAGAGGTCTGAATATCCACTTGCAGACTTTACAAACAGAGTGTTTCCTAACTGCTCTTTGAAAAGAAAGGTTAAACTCTGTGAGTTGAACGCACACATCACAAAACAGTTTCTGATAATCATTCTGTCTAGTTTTTATACGAAGATATTTCCTTTTCTACCGTTGACCTCAAAGCGGCTGAATTCTCCACTTACAAATTCCACCAAAAGAGTGTCTCAAATCTGCTCTGTGTAAAGAATCATTCAACTCTGTGAGTTGAATGCACACAACACAAGGAAGTTACTGGGAATTCCTCTGTCTAACCTTACATGAAAAAACCCGTTTCCAATGAAGGCCTCTAAGAGGCCAAGATATCCACTTGCAGACTTTACAAACAGAGTGTTTCCAAACTGCTGAATGAAAAGAAAAGTTAAACTCTGTGAGTTGAACGCACACATCACAGAGCAGTTTCTGAGAATGATTCTGTCGGGTTTTTATACGAAGATATTTCCTTTTCTGCCTTTGGCCTCAAAGCGCTTGAAGTCTCCACTTGCAAATTGCAGAAAAAGAGTGTTTCGAATCTGCTCTGTCTAAAGGAAGGTTCAACTCTGTCAGTTGAATACACACAACACAAGGAAGTTACTGAGATTTCTTCTGTCTAGCCTTACATGAAAAAAACCCGTTTCCAACGAAGGCCTCAAAGAGGTCAAAATATCCACGTGCAGACTTTCCAAACAGAGTGTTTCCAAACTGCTGAATGAAAAGAAAAGTTAAACTCTGTGAGTTGAACGCACACGTCCCAGAGCAGTTTCTGAGAAAGATTCTGTCTAGTTTTTATAGGAAAATATTTCCTTTTCTGCTTTTGGCCTCAAAGCGCTTGAAATCTCCACTTGCAAATTCCACAAAAAGAGACTTTCAAATCTGCTCTGTCTAAAGGAAGGTTCAACTCTGTCAGTTGAATACACACAACACAAAGAAGTTACTAAGAATTCTTCCCTCTAGCATTATATGAAGAAATCCCGTTTCCAACGAAGGCATCTAAGAGGTCCAAATATCCACTTGCAGACTTTACAAACAGAGGGTTTCCAGAATGCTGTATGAAAAGAAAGGTGAAACTCTGTGAGTTAAACACACACATCACTACGCAGTGTCTGGGAACGAGTTTGTCTTGTTTTTATACGAAGATATTTCCTTTTCTACCATTGGCATCGAAGCGCTTGAAATCTCCACTTGCAAATTCCACAAAAAGAGTGTTTCAAATCTGCTCTGTCTAAAGGAAGGTTGAACTCTGTGAGTTGCATACACACAACACAAAGAAGTTACTGAGAAATCTTCTGTCTAGCATAATATGAAGAAATCCCGTTTCCAACAAAGGCCTCAAAGAGGTCCGAATATCCACTTGCAGACTTTACAAACAGAGTGTTTCCTAACTGCTCTTTGAAAAGAAAGGTTAAACTCTGTGAGTTGAACGCACACATCACAAAACAGTTTCTGAGAATCATTCTGTCTAGTTTTTATACGAAGATATTTCCTTTTCTACCGTTGACCTCAAAGCGGCTGAAATCTCCACTTGCAAATTCCAGAAAAACAGTGTTTCAAATCTGCTCTGTGTAAAGGATCGTTCAACTCTGTGAGTTGAATACACACAACACAAGGAAGTTACTGAGAATTCATCTGTCTAGCATAATATGAAGAAATCCCGTTTCCAACGAAGGCCTCAAAGAGGTCTGAATATCCACTTGCAGACTTTACAAACAGAGTGTTTCCTAACTGCTCTTTGAAAAGAAAGGTTAAACTCTGTGAGTTGAACGCACACATCACAAAACAGTTTCTGAGAATCATTCTTTCTAGTTTTTATACGAAGATATTTCCTTTTCTACCGTTGACCTCAAAGCGGCTGAATTCTCCACTTACAAATTCCACCAAAAGAGTGTCTCAAATCTGCTCTGTGTAAAGAATCATTCAACTCTGTGAGTTGAATGCATACAACACAAGGAAAGTTACTGGGAATTCCTCTGTCTAACCTTACATGAAAAAACCCGTTTCCAACGAAGGCCTCTAAGAGGCCAAGATATCCACTTGCAGACTTTACAAACAGAGTGTTTCCAAACTGCTGAATGAAAAGAAAAGTTAAACTCTGTGAGTTGAACGCACACATCACAGAGCAGTTTCTGAGAATGATTCTGTCGGGTTTTTATACGAAGATATTTCCTTTTCTGCCTTTGGCCTCAAAGCGCTTGAAGTCTCCACTTGCAAATTGCAGAAAAAGAGTGTTTCGAATCTGCTCTGTCTAAAGGAAGGTTCAACTCTGTCAGTTGAATACACACAACACAAGGAAGTTACTGAGATTTCTTCTGTCTAGCCTTACATGAAAAAAACCCGTTTCCAACGAAGGCCTCAAAGAGGTCAAAATATCCACGTGCAGACTTTCCAAACAGAGTGTTTCCAAACTGCTGAATGAAAAGAAAAGTTAAACTCTGTGAGTTGAACGCACACATCCCAGAGCAGTTTCTGAGAAAGATTCTGTCGAGTTTTTATAGGAAAATATTTCCTTTTCTGCTTTTGGCCTCAAAGCGCTTGAAATCTCCACTTGCAAATTCCACAAAAAGAGACTTTCAAATCTGCTCTGTCTAAAGGAAGGTTCAACTCTGTCAGTTGAATACACACAACACAAAGAAGTTACTAAGAATTCTTCCCTCTAGCATTATATGAAGAAATCCCGTTTCCAACGAAGGCATCTAAGAGGTCCAAATATCCACTTGCAGACTTTACAAACAGAGGGTTTCCAGAATGCTGTATGAAAAGAAAGGTGAAACTCTGTGAGTTAAACACACACATCACTACGCAGTGTCTGGGAACGAGTTTGTCTTGTTTTTATACGAAGATATTTCCTTTTCTACCATTGGCATCGAAGCGCTTGAAATCTCCACTTGCAAATTCCACAAAAAGAGTGTTTCAAATCTGCTCTGTCTAAAGGAAGGTTGAACTCTGTGAGTTGCATACACACAACACAAAGAAGTTACTGAGAAATCTTCTGTCTAGCATAATATGAAGAAATCCCGTTTCCAACGAAGGCCTCAAAGAGGTCCGAATATCCACTGGCAGGCTTCACAAACAGAGTGTTTCCTAACTGCTCTGTGAAAAGAAAGGTTAAACTCTGTGAGTTGAACACACACATCACAAAGGAGTTTCTGAGAATCATTCTGTCTAGTTTTTATACGAAGATATTTCTTTTTCTACCATTGACCTCAAAGCGGCTGAAATCTCCACTTGCAAATTCCAGAAAAACAGTGTTTCAAATCTGCTCTGTGTAAAGGATCGTTCAACTCTGTGAGTTGAATACACACAACACAAGGAAGTTACTGAGAATTCATCTGTCTAGCATAATATGAAGAAATCCCGTTTCCAACGAAGGCCTCAAAGAGGTCTGAATATCCACTTGCAGACTTTACAAACAGAGTGTTTCCTAACTGCTCTTTGAAAAGAAAGGTTAAACTCTGTGAGTTGAACGCACACATCACAAAACAGTTTCTGAGAATCATTCTGTCTAGTTTTTATACGAAGATATATCCTTTTCTACCGTTGACCTCAAAGCGGCTGAATTCTCCACTAACAAATTCCACCAAAAGAGTGTCTCAAATCTACTCTGTGTAAAGAATCATTCAACTCTGTGAGTTGAATGCACACAACACAAGGAAGTTACTGGGAATTCCTCTGTCTATCCTTACATGAAAAAACCCGTTTCCAACGAAGGCCTCTAAGAGGCCAAGATATCCACTTGCAGACTTTACAAACAGAGTGTTTCCAAACTGCTGAATGAAAAGAAAAGTTAAACTCTGTGAGTTGAACGCACACATCACAGAGCAGTTTCTGAGAAAGATTCTGTCTAGTTTTTATAGGAAAATATTTCCTTTTCTGCTTTTGGCCTCAAAGCGCTTGAAATCTCCACTTGCAAATTCCACAAAAAGAGTGTTTCAAATCTGCTCTGTCTAAAGGAAGGTTGAACTCTGTAAGTTGCATACACACAACACAAAGAAGTTACTGAGAAATCTTCTGTCTAGCATAATATGAAGAAATCCCGTTTCCAACGAAGGCCTCAAAGAGGTCCGAATATCCACTGGCAGGCTTCACAAACAGAGTGTTTCCTAACTGCTCTGTGAAAAGAAAGGTTAAACTCTGTGAGTTGAACGCACACATCACAAAGGAGTTTCTGAGAATCATTCTGTCTAGTTTTTATACGAAGATATTTCCTTTTCTACCATTGACCTCAAAGCAGCTGAAATCTCCACTTGCAAATTCCAGAAAAACAGTGTTTCAAATCTGCTCTGTGTAAAGGATCGTTCAACTCTGTGAGTTGAATACACACAACACAAGGAAGTTACTGAGAATTCATCTGTCTAGCATAATATGAAGAAATCCCGTTTCCAACGAAGGCCTCAAAGAGGTCTGAATATCCACTTGCAGACTTTACAAACAGAGTGTTTCCTAACTGCTCTTTGAAAAGAAAGGTTAAACTCTGTGAGTTGAACGCACACATCACAAAACAGTTTCTGAGAATCATTCTGTCTAGTTTTTATACGAAGATATTTCCTTTTCTACCGTTGACCTCAAAGCAGCTGAATTCTCCACTTACAAATTCCACCAAAAGAGTGTCTCAAATCTGCTCTGTGTAAAGAATCATTCAACTCTGTGAGTTGAATGCACACAACACAAGGAAGTTACTGGGAATTCCTCTGTCTAACCTTACATGAAAAAACCCGTTTCCAACGAAGGCCTCTAAGAGGCCAAGATATCCACTTGCAGACTTTACAAACAGAGTGTTTCCAAACTGCTGAATGAAAAGAAAAGTTAAACTCTGTGAGTTGAACGCACACATCACAGAGCAGTTTCTGAGAATGATTCTGTCGGGTTTTTATACGAAGATATTTCCTTTTCTGCCTTTGGCCTCAAAGCGCTTGAAGTCTCCACTTGCAAATTGCAGAAAAAGAGTGTTTCGAATCTGCTCTGTCTAAAAGAAGGTTCAACTCTGTCAGTTGAATACACACAACACAAGGAAGTTACTGAGATTTCTTCTGTCTAGCCTTACATGAAAAAAACCCGTTTCCAACGAAGGCCTCAAAGAGGTCAAAATATCCACGTGCAGACTTTCCAAACAGAGTGTTTCCAAACTGCTGAATGAAAAGAAAAGTTAAACTCTGTGAGTTGAACGCACACATCCCCAGAGCAGTTTCTGAGAAAGATTCTGTCTAGTTTTTATAGGAAAATATTTCCTTTTCTGCTTTTGGCCTCAAAGCGCTTGAAATCTCCACTTGCAAATTCCACAAAAAGAGACTTTCAAATCTGCTCTGTCTAAAGGAAGGTTCAACTCTGTCAGTTGAATACACACAACACAAAGAAGTTACTAAGAATTCTTCCCTCTAGCATTATATGAAGAAATCCCGTTTCCAACGAAGGCATCTAAGAGGTCCAAATATCCACTTGCAGACTTTACAAACACAGGGTTTCCAGAATGCTGTATGAAAAGAAAGGTTAAACTCTGTGAGTTAAACACACACATCACTACGCAGTGTCTGGGAACGAGTTTGTCTTGTTTTTATACGAAGATATTTCCTTTTCTACCATTGGCATCGAAGCGCTTGAAATCTCCACTTGCAAATTCCACAAAAAGAGTGTTTCAAATCTGCTCTGTCTAAAGGAAGGTTGAACTCTGTGAGTTGCATACACACAACACAAAGAAGTTACTGAGAAATCTTCTGTCTAGCATAATATGAAGAAATCCCGTTTCCAACGAAGGCCTCAAAGAGGTCCGAATATCCACTGGCAGGCTTCACAAACAGAGTGTTTCCTAACTGCTCTGTGAAAAGAAAGGTTAAACTCTGTGAGTTGAACGCACACATCACAAAGGAGTTCTGAGAATCATTCTGTCTAGTTTTTATACGAAGATATTTCCTTTTCTACCATTGACCTCAAAGCGGCTGAAATCTCCACTTGCAAATTCCAGAAAAACAGTGTTTCAAATCTGCTCTGTGTAAAGGATCGTTCAACTCTGTGAGTTGAATACACACAACACAAGGAAGTTACTGAGAATTCATCTGTCTAGCATAATATGAAGAAATCCCGTTTCCAATGAAGGCCTCAAAGAGGTCTGAATATCCACTTGCAGACTTTACAAACAGAGTGTTTCCTAACTGCTCTTTGAAAAGAAAGGTTAAACTCTGTGAGTTGAACGCACACATCACAAAACAGTTTGCTGAGAATCATTCTGTCTAGTTTTTATACGAAGATATTTCCTTTTCTACCGTTGACCTCAAAGCGGCTGAATTCTCCACTTTCAAATTCCACCAAAAGAGTGTCTCAAATCTGCTCTGTGTAAAGAATCATTCAACTCTGTGAGTTGAATGCACACAACACAAGGAAAGTTACTGGGAATTCCTCTGTCTATCCTTACATGAAAAAACCCGTTTCCAACGAAGGCCTCTAAGAGGCCAAGATATCCACTTGCAGACTTTACAAACAGAGTGTTTCCAAACTGCTGAATGAAAAGAAAAGTTAAACTCTGTGAGTTGAACGCACACATCACAGAGCAGTTTCTGAGAATGATTCTGTCGGGTTTTTATACGAAGATATTTCCTTTTCTGCCTTTGGCCTCAAAGCGCTTGAAGTCTCCACTTGCAAATTGCAGAAAAAGAGTGTTTCGAATCTGCTCTGTCTAAAGGAAGGTTCAACTCTGTCAGTTGAATACACACAACACAAGGAAGTTACTGAGATTTCTTCTGTCTAGCCTTACATGAAAAAAACCCGTTTCCAACGAAGGCCTCAAAGAGGTCAAAATATCCACGTGCAGACTTTCCAAACAGAGTGTTTCCAAACTGCTGAATGAAAAGAAAAGTTAAACTCTGTGAGTTGAACGCACACATCCCAGAGCAGTTTCTGAGAAAGATTCTGTCGAGTTTTTATAGGAAAATATTTCCTTTTCTGCTTTTGGCCTCAAAGCGCTTGAAATCTCCACTTGCAAATTCCACAAAAAGAGACTTTCAAATCTGCTCTGTCTAAAGGAAGGTTCAACTCTGTCAGTTGAATACACACAACACAAAGAAGTTACTAAGAATTCTTCCCTCTAGCATTATATGAAGAAATCCCGTTTCCAACGAAGGCATCTAAGAGGTCCAAATATCCACTTGCAGACTTTACAAACACAGGGTTTCCAGAATGCTGTATGAAAAGAAAGGTTAAACTCTGTGAGTTAAACACACACATCACTACGCAGTGTCTGGGAACGAGTTTGTCTTGTTTTTATACGAAGATATTTCCTTTTCTACCATTGGCATCGAAGCGCTTGAAATCTCCACTTGCAAATTCCACAAAAAGAGTGTTTCAAATCTGCTCTGTCTAAAGGAAGGTTGAACTCTGTGAGGTTGCATACACACAACACAAAGAAGTTACTGAGAAATCTTCTGTCTAGCATAATATGAAGAAATCCCGTTTCCAACGAAGGCCTCAAAGAGGTCCGAATATCCACTGGCAGGCTTCACAAACAGAGTGTTTCCTAACTGCTCTGTGAAAAGAAAGGTTAAACTCTGTGAGTTGAACGCACACATCACAAAGGAGTTTCTGAGAATCATTCTGTCTAGTTTTTATACGAAGATATTTCTTTTTCTACCATTGACCTCAAAGCGGCTGAAATCTCCACTTGCAAATTCCAGAAAAACAGTGTTTCAAATCTGCTCTGTGTAAAGGATCGTTCAACTCTGTGAGTTGAATACACACAACACAAGGAAGTTACTGAGAATTCATCTGTCTAGCATAATATGAAGAAATCCCGTTTCCAACGAAGGCCTCAAAGAGGTCTGAATATCCACTTGCAGACTTTACAAACAGAGTGTTTCCTAACTGCTCTTTGAAAAGAAAGGTTAAACTCTGTGAGTTGAACGCACACATCACAAAACAGTTTCTGAGAATCATTCTGTCTAGTTTTTATACGAAGATATTTCCTTTTCTACCGTTGACCTCAAAGCGGCTGAATTCTCCACTTACAAATTCCACCAAAAGAGTGTCTCAAATCTGCTCTGTGTAAAGAATCATTCAACTCTGTGAGTTGAATGCACACAACACAAGGAAGTTACTGGGAATTCCTCTGTCTAACCTTACATGAAAAAACCCGTTTCCAACGAAGGCCTCTAAGAGGCCAAGATATCCACTTGCAGACTTTACAAACAGAGTGTTTCCAAACTGCTGAATGAAAAGAAAAGTTAAACTCTGTGAGTTGAACGCACACATCACAGAGCAGTTTCTGAGAGTGATTCTGTCGGGTTTTTATACGAAGATATTTCCTTTTCTGCCTTTGGCCTCAAAGCGCTTGAAGTCTCCACTTGCAAATTGCAGAAAAAGAGTGTTTCGAATCTGCTCTGTCTAAAGGAAGGTTCAACTCTGTCAGTTGAATACACACAACACAAGGAAGTTACTGAGATTTCTTCTGTCTAGCCTTACATGAAAAAAACCCGTTTCCAACGAAGGCCTCAAAGAGGTCAAAATATCCACGTGCAGACTTTCCAAACAGAGTGTTTCCAAACTGCTGAATGAAAAGAAAAGTTAAACTCTGTGAGTTGAACGCACACATCCCAGAGCAGTTTCTGAGAAAGATTCTGTCGAGTTTTTATAGGAAAATATTTCCTTTTCTGCTTTTGGCCTCGAAGCGCTTGAAATCTCCACTTGCAAATTCCACAAAAAGAGACTTTCAAATCTGCTCTGTCTAAAGGAAGGTTCAACTCTGTCAGTTGAATACACACAACACAAAGAAGTTACTAAGAATTCTTCCCTCTAGCATTATATGAAGAAATCCCGTTTCCAACGAAGGCATCTAAGAGGTCCAAATATCCACTTGCAGACTTTACAAACACAGGGTTTCCAGAATGCTGTATGAAAAGAAAGGTGAAACTCTGTGAGTTAAACACACACATCACTACGCAGTGTCTGGGAACGAGTTTGTCTTGTTTTTATATGAAGATATTTCCTTTTCTACCATTGGCATCGAAGCGCTTGAAATCTCCACTTGCAAATTCCACAAAAAGAGTGTTTCAAATCTGCTCTGTCTAAAGGAAGGTTGAACTCTGTGAGTTGCATACACACAACACAAAGAAGTTACTGAGAAATCTTCTGAATGGCATAATATGAAGAAATCCCGTTTCCAACGAAGGCCTCAAAGAGGTCCGATTATCCACTGGCAGGCTTCACAAACAGAGTGTTTCCTAACTGCTCTGTGAAAAGAAAGGTTAAACTCTGTGAGTTGAACGCACACATCACAAAGGAGTTTCTGAGAATCATTCTGTCTAGTTTTTATACGAAGATATTTCCTTTTCTACCATTGACCTCAAAGCGGCTGAAATCTCCACTTGCAAATTCCAGAAAAACAGTGTTTCAAATCTGCTCTGTGTAAAGGATCGTTCAACTCTGTGAGTTGAATACACACAACACAAGGAAGTTACTGAGAATTCATCTGTCTAGCATAATATGAAGAAATCCCGTTTCCAACGAAGGCCTCAAAGAGGTCTGAATATCCACTTGCAGACTTTACAAACAGAGTGTTTCCTAACTGCTCTTTGAAAAGAAAGGTTAAACTCTGTGAGTTGAACGCACACATCACAAAACAGTTTCTGAGAATCATTCTGTCTAGTTTTTATACGAAGATATTTCCTTTTCTACCGTTGACCTCAAAGCGGCTGAATTCTCCACTTACAAATTCCACCAAAAGAGTGTCTCAAAACTGCTCTGTGTAAAGAATCATTCAACTCTGTGAGTTGAATGCACACAACACAAGGAAGTTACTGGGAATTCCTCTGTCTAACCTTACATGAAAAAACCCGTTTCCAACGAAGGCCTCTAAGAGGCCAAGATATCCACTTGCAGACTTTACAAACAGAGTGTTTCCAAACTGCTGAATGAAAAGAAAAGTTAAACTCTGTGAGTTGAACGCACACATCACAGAGCAGTTTCTGAGAATGATTCTGTCGGGTTTTTATACGAAGATATTTCCTTTTCTGCCTTTGGCCTCAAAGCGCTTGAAGTCTCCACTTGCAAATTGCAGAAAAAGAGTGTTTCGAATCTGCTCTGTCTAAAGGAAGGTTCAACTCTGTCAGTTGAATACACACAACACAAGGAAGTTACTGAGATTTCTTCTGTCTAGCCTTACATGAAAAAAACCCGTTTCCAACGAAGGCCTCAAAGAGGTCAAAATATCCACGTGCAGACTTTCCAAACAGAGTGTTTCCAAACTGCTGAATGAAAAGAAAAGTTAAACTCTGTGAGTTGAACAGCACACATCCCAGAGCAGTTTCTGAGAAAGATTCTGTCTAGTTTTTATAGGAAAATATTTCCTTTTCTGCTTTTGGCCTCAAAGCGCTTGAAATCTCCACTTGCGAATTCCACAAAAAGAGACTTTCAAATCTGCTCTGTCTAAAGGAAGGTTCAATTCTGTCAGTTGAATACACACAACACAAAGAAGTTACTAAGAATTCTTCCCTCTAGCATTATATGAAGAAATCCCGTTTCCAACGAAGGCATCTAAGAGGTCCAAATATCCACTTGCAGACTTTACAAACAGAGGGTTTCCAGAATGCTGTATGAAAAGAAAGGTTAAACTCTGTGAGTTAAACACACACATCACTACGCAGTGTTCTGGGAACGAGTTTTGTCTTGGTTTTTATACGAAGATATTTCCTTTTCTACCATTGGCATCGAAGCGCTTGAAATCTCCACTTGCAAATTCCACAAAAAGAGTGTTTCAAATCTGCTCTGTCTAAAGGAAGGTTGAACTCTGTGAGTTGCATACACACAACACAAAGAAGTTACTGAGAAATCTTCTGTCTAGCATAATATGAAGAAATCCCGTTTCCAACGAAGGCCTCAAAGAGGTCCGAATATCCACTGGCAGGCTTCACAAACAGAGTGTTTCCTAACTGCTCTGTGAAAAGAAAGGTTAAACTCTGTGAGTTGAACGCACACATCACAAAGGAGTTTCTGAGAATCATTCTGTCTAGTTTTTATACGAAGATATTTCCTTTTCTACCATTGACCTCAAAGCGGCTGAAATCTCCACTTGCAAATTCCAGAAAAACAGTGTTTCAAATCTGCTCTGTGTAAAGGATCGTTCAACTCTGTGAGTTGAATACACACAACACAAGGAAGTTACTGAGAATTCATCTGTCTAGCATAATATGAAGAAATCCCGTTTCCAACGAAGGCCTCAAAGAGGTCTGAATATCCACTTGCAGACTTTACAAACAGAGTGTTTCCTAACTGCTCTTTGAAAAGAAAGGTTAAACTCTGTGAGTTGAACGCACACATCACAAAACAGTTTCTGAGAATCATTCTGTCTAGTTTTTATACGAAGATATTTCCTTTTCTACCGTTGACCTCAAAGCGGCTGAATTCTCCACTTACAAATTCCACCAAAAGAGTGTCTCAAATCTGCTCTGTGTAAAGAATCATTCAACTCTGTGAGTTGAATGCACACAACACAAGGAAGTTACTGGGAATTCCTCTGTCTAACCTTACATGAAAAAACCCGTTTCCAACGAAGGCCTCTAAGAGGCCAAGATATCCACTTGCAGACTTTACAAACAGAGTGTTTCCAAACTGCTGAATGAAAAGAAAAGTTAAACTCTGTGAGTTGAACGCACACATCACAGAGCAGTTTCTGAGAATGATTCTGTCGGGTTTTTATACGAAGATATTTCCTTTTCTGCCTTTGGCCTCAAAGCGCTTGAAGTGTCCACTTGCAAATTGCAGAAAAAGAGTGTTTCGAATCTGCTCTGTCTAAAGGAAGGTTCAACTCTGTCAGTTGAATACACACAACACAAGGAAGTTACTGAGATTTCTTCTGTCTAGCCTTACATGAAAAAAACCCGTTTCCAACGAAGGCCTCAAAGAGGTCAAAATATCCACGTGCAGACTTTCCAAACAGAGTGTTTCCAAACTGCTGAATGAAAAGAAAAGTTAAACTCTGTGAGTTGAACGCACACATCCCAGAGCAGTTTCTGAGAAAGATTCTGTCGAGTTTTTATAGGAAAATATTTCCTTTTCTGCTTTTGGCCTCAAAGCGCTTGAAATCTCCACTTGCAAATTCCACAGAAAGAGACTTTCAAATCTGCTCTGTCTAAAGGAAGGTTCAACTCTGTCAGTTGAATACACACAACACAAAGAAGTTACTAAGAATTCTTCCCTCTAGCATTATATGAAGAAATCCCGTTTCCAACGAAGGCATCTAAGAGGTCCAAATATCCACTTGCAGACTTTACAAACACAGGGTTTCCAGAATGCTGTATGAAAAGAAAGGTTAAACTCTGTGAGTTAAACACACACATCACTACGCAGTGTCTGGGAACGAGTTTGTCTTGTTTTTATACGAAGATATTTCCTTTTCTACCATTGGCATCGAAGCGCTTGAAATCTCCACTTGCAAATTCCACAAAAAGAGTGTTTCAAATATGCTCTCTCTAAAGGAAGGTTGAACTCTGTGAGTTGCATACACACAACCCAAAGAAGTTACTGAGAAATCTTCTGTCTAGCATAATATGAAGAAATCCCGTTTCCAACGAAGGCCTCAAAGAGGTCCGAATATCCACTGGCAGGCTTCACAAACAGAGTGTTTCCTAACTGCTCTGTGAAAAGAAAGGTTAAACTCTGTGAGTTGAACGCACACATCACAAAGGAGTTTCTGAGAATCATTCTGTCTAGTTTTTATACGAAGATATTTCCTTTTCTACCATTGACCTCAAAGCGGCTGAAATCTCCACTTGCAAATTCCAGAAAAACAGTGTTTCAAATCTGCTCTGTGTAAAGGATCGTTCAACTCTGTGAGTTGAATACACACAACACAAGGAAGTTACTGAGAATTCATCTGTCTAGCATAATATGAAGAAATCCCGTTTCCAACGAAGGCCTCAAAGAGGTCTGAATATCCACTTGCAGACTTTACAAACAGAGTGTTTCCTAACTGCTCTTTGAAAAGAAAGGTTAAACTCTGTGAGTTGAACGCACACATCACAAAACAGTTTCTGAGAATCATTCTGTCTAGTTTTTATACGAAGATATTTCCTTTTCTACCGTTGACCTCAAAGCGGCTGAATTCTCCACTTACAAATTCCACCAAAAGAGTGTCTCAAATCTGCTCTGTGTAAAGAATCATTCAACTCTGTGAGTTGAATGCACACAACACAAGGAAGTTACTGGGAATTCCTCTGTCTAACCTTACATGAAAAAACCCGTTTCCCACGAAGGCCTCTAAGAGGCCAATATATCCCCTTGCAGACTTTACAAAGAGAGTGTTTCCAAACTGCTGAATGAAAAGAAAAGTTAAACTCTGTGAGTTGAACGCACACATCACAGAGCAGTTTCTGAGAATGATTCTGTCGGGTTTTTATACGAAGATATTTCCTTTTCTGCCTTTGGCCTCAATGCGCTAGAAGTCTCCACTTGCAAATTGCAGAAAAAGAGTGTTTCGAATCTGCTCTGTCTAAAGGAAGGTTCAACCCTGTCAACTGAATACACACAACACAAGGAAGTTACTGAGATTTCTTCTGTCTAGCCTTACATGAAAAAAACCCGTTTCCAACGAAGGCCTCGAAGAGGTCAAAATATCCACGTGCAGACTTTCCAAACAGAGTGTTTCCAAACTGCTGAATGAAAAGAAAAGTTAAGCTCTGTGAGTTGAACGCACACATCACAGAGCAGTTTCTGAGAATGATTCTGTCTAGTTTTTATAGGAAAATATTTCCTTTTCTGCTTTTGGCCTCAAAGCGCTTGAAATCTCCACTTGCAAATTCCACAAAAAGAGACTTTCAAATCTGCTCTGTCTAAAGGAAGGTTCAACTCTGTCAGTTGAATACACACAACACAAAGAAGTTACTAAGAATTCTTCCCTCTAGCATTATATGAAGAAATCCCGTTTCCAAAGAAGGCATCTAAGAGGTCCAAATATCCACTTGCAGACTTTACAAACAGAGGGTTTCCAGAATGCTGTATGAACAGAAAGGTTAAACTCTGTGAGTTAAACACACACATCAGTACGCAGTGTCTGGGAACGAGTTTGTCTTGTTTTTCTACGAAGATATTTCCTTTTCTACCATTGGCATCGAAGCGCTTGAAATCTCCACTTGCAAATTCCACAAAAAGAGTGTTTCAAATCTGCTCTGTCTAAAGGAAGGTTGAACTCTGTGAGTTGCATACACACAACACGAAGAAGTTACTGAGAAATCTTCTGTCTAGCATAATATGAAGAAATCCCGTTTCCAACGAAGGCCTCAAAGAGGTCCGAATATCCACTGGCAGGCTTCACAAACAGAGTGTTTCCTAACTGCTCTGTGAAAAGAAAGGTTAAACTCTGTGAGTTGAACGCACACATCACAAAGGAGTTTCTGAGAATCATTCTGTCTAGTTTTTATACGAAGATATTTCCTTTTCTACCATTGACCTCAAAGCGGCTGAAATCTCCACTTGCAAATTCCAGAAAAACAGTGTTTCAAATCTGCTCTGTGTAAAGGATCGTTCAACTCTGTGAGTTGAATACACACAACACAAGGAAGTTACTGAGAATTCATCTGTCTAGCATAATATGAAGAAATCCCGTTTCCAACGAAGGCCTCAAAGAGGTCTGAATATCCACTTGCAGACTTTACAAACAGAGTGTTTCCTAACTGCTCTCTGAAAAGAAAGGTTAAACTCTGTGAGTTGAACGCACACATCACAAAACAGTTTCTGAGAATCATTCTGTCTAGTTTTTATACGAAGATATTTCCTTTTCTACCGTTGACCTCAAAGCGGCTGAATTCTCCACTTACAAATTCCACCCAAAGAGTGTCTCAAATCTGCTCTGTGTAAAGAATCATTCAACTCTGTGAGTTGAATGCACACAACACAAGGAAGTTACTGGGAATTCCTCTGTCTATCCTTACATGAAAAAACCCGTTTCCAACGAAGGCCTCTAAGAGGCCAAGATATCCACTTGCAGACTTTACAAACAGAGTGTTTCCAAACTGCTGAATGAAAAGAAAAGTTAAACTCTGTGAGTTGAACGCACACATCACAGAGCAGTTTCTGAGAATGATTCTGTCGGGTTTTTATACGAAGATATTTCCTTTTCTGCCTTTGGCCTCAAAGCGCTTGAAGTCTCCACTTGCAAATTGCAGAAAAAGAGTGTTTCGAATCTGCTCTGTCTAAAGGAAGGTTCAACTCTGTCAGTTGAATACACACAACACAAGGAAGTTACTGAGATTTCTTCTGTCTAGCCTTACATGAAAAAAACCCGTTTCCAACGAAGGCCTCAAAGATGTCAAAATATCCACGTGCAGACTTTCCAAACAGAGTGTTTCCAAACTGCTGAATGAAAAGAAAAGTTAAACTCTGTGAGTTGAACGCACACATCCCAGAGCAGTTTCTGAGAAAGATTCTGTCTAGTTTTTATAGGAAAATATTTCCTTTTCTGCTTTTGGCCTCAAAGCGCTTGAAATCTCCACTTGCAAATTCCACAAAAAGAGACTTTCAAATCTGCTCTGTCTAAAGGAAGGTTCAACTCTGTCAGTTGAATACACACAACACAAAGAAGTTACTAAGAATTCTTCCCTCTAGCATTATATGAAGAAATCCCGTTTCCAACGAAGGCATCTAAGAGGTCCAAATATGCACTTGCAGACTTTACAAACAGAGGGTTTCCAGAATGCTGTATGAAAAGAAAGGTGAAACTCTGTGAGTTAAACACACACATCACTACGCAGTGTCTGGGAACGAGTTTGTCTTGTTTTTATACGAAGATATTTCCTTTTCTACCATTGGCATCGAAGCGCTTGAAATCTCCACTTGCAAATTCCACAAAAAGAGTGTTTCAAATCTGCTCTGTCTAAAGGAAGGTTGAACTCTGTGAGTTGCATACACACAACACAAAGAAGTTACTGAGAAATCTTCTGTCTAGCATAATATGAAGAAATCCCGTTTCCAACGAAGGCCTCAAAGAGGTCCGAATATCCACTGGCAGGCTTCACAAACAGAGTGTTTCCTAACTGCTCTGTGAAAAGAAAGGTTAAACTCTGTGAGTTGAACGCACACATCACAAAGGAGTTTCTGAGAATCATTCTGTCTAGTTTTTATACGAAGATATTTCCTTTTCCACCATTGACCTCAAAGCGGCTGAAATCTCCACTTGCAAATTCCAGAAAAACAGTGTTTCAAATCTGCTCTGTGTAAAGGATCGTTCAACTCTGTGAGTTGAATACACACAACACAAGGAAGTTACTGAGAATTCATCTGTCTAGCATAATATGAAGAAATCCCGTTTCCAACGAAGGCCTCAAAGAGGTCTGAATATCCACTTGCAGACTTTACAAACAGAGTGTTTCCTAACTGCTCTTTGAAAAGAAAGGTTAAACTCTGTGAGTTGAACGCACACATCACAAAACAGTTTCTGAGAATCATTCTGTCTAGTTTTTATACGAAGATATTTCCTTTTCTACCGTTGACCTCAAAGCGGCTGAATTCTCCACTTACAAATTCCACCAAAAGAGTGTCTCAAATCTGCTCTGTGTAAAGAATCATTCAACTCTGTGAGTTGAATGCACACAACACAAGGAAGTTACTGGGAATTCCTCTGTCTAACCTTACATGAAAAAACCCGTTTCCAACGAAGGCCTCTAAGAGGCCAAGATATCCACTTGCAGACTTTACAAACAGAGTGTTTCCAAACTGCTGAATGAAAAGAAAAGTTAAACTCTGTGAGTTGAACGCACACATCACAGAGCAGTTTCTGAGAGTGATTCTGTCGGGTTTTTATACGAAGATATTTCCTTTTCTGCCTTTGGCCTCAAAGCGCTTGAAGTCTCCACTTGCAAATTGCAGAAAAAGAGTGTTTCGAATCTGCTCTGTCTAAAGGAAGGTTCAACTCTGTCAGTTGAATACACACAACACAAGGGAATTTACTGAGATTTCTTCTGTCTAGCCTTACATGAAAAAAACCCGTTTCCAACGAAGGCCTCAAAGAGGTCAAAATATCCACGTGCAGACTTTCCAAACAGTGTTTCCAAACTGCTGAATGAAAAGAAAAGTTAAACTCTGTGAGTTGAACGCACACATCACAGAGCAGTTTCTGAGAATGATTCTGTCGAGTTTTTATAGGAAAATATTTCCTTTTCTGCTTTTGGCCTCAAAGCGCTTGAAATCTCCACTTGCAAATTCCACAAAAAGAGACTTTCAAATCTGCTCTGTCTAAAGGAAGGTTCAACTCTGTCAGTTGAATACACACAACACAAAGAAGTTACTAAGAATTCTTCCCTCTAGCATTATATGAAGAAATCCCGTTTCCAACGAAGGCATCTAAGAGGTCCAAATATCCACTTGCAGACTTTACAAACACAGGGTTTCCAGAATGCTGTATGAAAAGAAAGGTTAAACTCTGTGAGTTAAACACACACATCACTACGCAGTGTCTGGGAACGAGTTTGTCTTGTTTTTATACGAAGATATTTCCTTTTCTACCATTGGCATCGAAGCGCTTGAAATCTCCACTTGCAAATTCCACAAAAAGAGTGTTTCAAATCTGCTCTGTCTAAAGGAAGGTTGAACTCTGTGAGTTGCATACACACAACACAAAGAAGTTACTGAGAAATCTTCTGTCTAGCATAATATGAAGAAATCCCGTTTCCAACGAAGGCCTCAAAGAGGTCCGAATATCCACTGGCAGGCTTCACAAACAGAGTGTTTCCTAACTGCTCTGTGAAAAGAAAGGTTAAACTCTGTGAGTTGAACGCACACATCACAAAGGAGTTTCTGAGAATCATTCTGTCTAGTTTTTATACGAAGATATTTCCTTTTCTACCATTGACCTCAAAGCGGCTGAAATCTCCACTTGCAAATTCCAGAAAAACAGTGTTTCAAATCTGCTCTGTGTAAAGGATCGTTCAACTCTGTGAGTTGAATACACACAACACAAGGAAGTTACTGAGAATTCATCTGTCTAGCATAATATGAAGAAATCCCGTTTCCAACGAAGGCCTCAAAGAGGTCTGAATATCCACTTGCAGACTTTAGAAACAGAGTGTTTCCTAACTGCTCTTTGAAAAGAAAGGTTAAACTCTGTGAGTTGAACGCACACATCACAAAACAGTTTCTGAGAATCATTCTGTCTAGTTTTTATACGAAGATATTTCCTTTTCTACCGTTGACCTCAAAGCGGCTGAATTCTCCACTAACAAATTCCACCAAAAGAGTGTCTCAAATCTGCTCTGTGTAAAGAATCATTCAACTCTGTGAGTTGAATGCACACAACACAAGGAAGTTACTGGGAATTCCTCTGTCTAACCTTACATGAAAAAACCCGTTTCCAACCAAGGCCTCTAAGAGGCCAAGATATCCACTTGCAGACTTTACAAACAGAGTGTTTCCAAACTGCTGAATGAAAAGAAAAGTTATACTCTGTGAGTTGAACGCACACATCACAGAGCAGTTTCTGAGAATGATTCTGTCGGGTTTTTATACGAAGATATTTCCTTTTCTGCCTTTGGCCTCAAAGCGCTTGAAGTCTCCACTTGCAAATTGCAGAAAAAGAGTGTTTCGAATCTGCTCTGTCTAAAGGAAGGTTCAACTCTGTCAGTTGAATACACATAACACAAGGAAGTTACTGAGATTTCTTCTGTCTAGCCTTACATGAAAAAAACCCGTTTCCAACGAAGGCCTCAAAGAGGTCAAAATATCCACGTGCAGACTTTCCAAACAGAGTGTTTCCAAACTGCTGAATGAAAAGAAAAGTTAAACTCTGTGAGTTGAACGCACACATCCCAGAGCAGTTTCTGAGAAATATTCTGTCGAGTTTTTATAGGAAAATATTTCCTTTTCTGCTTTTGGCCTCAAAGCGCTTGAAATCTCCACTTGCAAATTCCACAAAAAGAGTGTTTCAAATCTGCTCTGTCTAAAGGAAGGTTGAACTCTGTGAGTTGCATACACACAACCCAAAGAAGTTACTGAGAAATCTTCTGTCTAGCATAATATGAAGAAATCCCGTTTCCAACGAAGGCCTCAAAGAGGTCCGAATATCCACTGGCAGGCTTCACAAACAGAGTGTTTCCTAACTGCTCTGTGAAAAGAAAGGTTAAACTCTGTGAGTTGAACGCACACATCACAAAGGAGTTTCTGAGAATCATTCTGTCTAGTTTTTATACGAAGATATTTCCTTTTCTACCATTGACCTCAAATCGGCTGAAATCTCCACTTGCAAATTCCAGAAAAACAGTGTTTCAAATCTGCTCTGTGTAAAGGATCGTTCAACTCTGTGAGTTGAATACACACAACACAAGGAAGTTACTGAGAATTCATCTGTCTAGCATAATATGAAGAAATCCCGTTTCCAACGAAGGCCTCAAAGAGGTCTGAATATCCACTTGCAGACTTTACAAACAGAGTGTTTCCTAACTGCTCTCTGAAAAGAAAGGTTAAACTCTGTGAGTTGAACGCACACATCACAAAACAGTTTCTGAGAATCATTCTGTCTAGTTTTTATACGAAGATATTTCCTTTTCTACCGTTGACCTCAAAGCGGCTGAATTCTCCACTTACAAATTCCACCAAAAGAGTGTCTCAAATCTGCTCTGTGTAAAGAATCATTCAACTCTGTGAGTTGAATGCACACAACACAAGGAAGTTACTGGGAATTCATCTGTCTAACTTACATGAAAAAACCCTTTTCCAACGAAGGCCTCTAAGAGGCCAAGATATCCACTTGCAGACTTTACAAACAGAGTGTTTCCAAACTGCTGAATGAAAAGAAAAGTTAAACTCTGTGAGTTGAACGCACACATCACAGAGCAGTTTCTGAGAATGATTCTGTCGGGTTTTTATACGAAGATATTTCCTTTTCTGCCTTTGGCCTCAAAGCGCTTGAAGTCTCCACTTGCAAATTGCAGAAAAAGAGTGTTTCGAATCTGCTCTGTCTAAAGGAAGGTTCAACTCTGTCAGTTGAATACACACAACACAAGGAAGTTACTGAGATTTCTTCTGTCTAGCCTTACATGAAAAAAACCCGTTTCCAACGAAGGCCTCAAAGAGGTCAAAATATCCACGTGCAGACTTTCCAAACAGAGTGTTTCCAAACTGCTGAATGAAAAGAAAAGTTAAACTCTGTGAGTTGAACGCACACATCCCAGAGCAGTTTCTGAGAAAGATTCTGTCGAGTTTTTATAGGAAAATATTTCCTTTTCTGCTTTTGGCCTCAAAGCGCTTGAAATCTCCACTTGCAAATTCCACAAAAAGAGACTTTCAAATCTGCTCTGTCTAAAGGAAGGTTCAACTCTGTCAGTTGAATACACACAACACAAAGAAGTTACTAAGAATTCTTCCCTCTAGCATTATATGAAGAAATCCCGTTTGCAACGAAGGCATCTAAGAGGTCCAAATATCCACTTGCAGACTTTACAAACAGAGGGTTTCCAGAATGCTGTATGAAAAGAAAGGTGAAACTCTGTGAGTTAAACACACACATCACTACGCAGTGTCTGGGAACGAGTTTGTCTTGTTTTTATACGAAGATATTTCCTTTTCTACCATTGGCATCGAAGCGCTTGAAATCTCCACTTGCAAATTCCACAAAAAGAGTGTTTCAAATCTGCTCTGTCTAAAGGAAGGTTGAACTCTGTGAGTTGCATACACACAACACAAAGAAGTTACTGAGAAATCTTCTGTCTAGCATAATATGAAGAAATCCCGTTTCCAACGAAGGCCTCAAAGAGGTCCGAATATCCACTGGCAGGCTTCACAAACAGAGTGTTTCCTAACTGCTCTGTGAAAAGAAAGGTTAAACCCTGTGAGTTGAACGCACACATCACAAAGGAGTTTCTGAGAATCATTCTGTCTAGTTTTTATACGAAGATATTTCCTTTTCTACCATTGACCTCAAAGCGGCTGAAATCTCCACTTGCAAATTCCAGAAAAACAGTGTTTCAAATCTGCTCTGTGTAAAGGATCGTTCAACTCTGTGAGTTGAATACACACAACACAAGGAAGTTACTGAGAATTCATCTGTCTAGCATAATATGAAGAAATCCCGTTTCCAACGAAGGCCTCAAAGAGGTCTGAATATCCACTTGCAGACTTTACAAACAGAGTGTTTCCTAACTGCTCTTTGAAAAGAAAGGTTAAACTCTGTGAGTTGAACGCACACATCACAAAACAGTTTCTGAGAATCATTCTGTCTAGTTTTTATACGAAGATATTTCCTTTTCTACCGTTGACCTCAAAGCAGCTGAATTCTCCACTTACAAATTCCACCCAAAGAGTGTCTCAAATCTGCTCTGTGTAAAGAATCATTCAACTCTGTGAGTTGAATGCACACAACACAAGGAAGTTACTGGGAATTCCTCTGTCTAACCTTACATGAAAAAACCCGTTTCCAACGAAGGCCTCTAAGAGGCCAAGATATCCACTTGCAGACTTTACAAACAGAGTGTTTCCAAACTGCTGAATGAAAAGAAAAGTTAAACTCTGTGAGTTGAACGCACACATCACAGAGCAGTTTCTGAGAATGATTCTGTCGGGTTTTTATACGAAGATATTTCCTTTTCTGCCTTTGGCCTCAAAGCGCTTGAAGTCTCCACTTGCAAATTGCAGAAAAAGAGTGTTTCGAATCTGCTCTGTCTAAAGGAAGGTTCAACTCTGTCAGTTGAATACACACAACACAAGGAAGTTACTGAGATTTCTTCTGTCTAGCCTTACATGAAAAAAACCCGTTTCCAACGAAGGCCTCAAAGAGGTCAAAATATCCACGTGCAGACTTTCCAAACAGAGTGTTTCCAAACTGCTGAATGAAAAGAAAAGTTAAACTCTGTGAGTTGAACGCACACATCCCAGAGCAGTTTCTGAGAAAGATTCTGTCGAGTTTTTATAGGAAAATATTTCCTTTTCTGCTTTTGGCCTCAAAGCGCTTGAAATCTCCACTTGCAAATTCCACAAAAAGAGACTTTCAAATCTGCTCTGTCTAAAGGAAGGTTCAACTCTGTCAGTTGAATACACACAACACAAAGAAGTTACTAAGAATTCTTCCCTCTAGCATTATATGAAGAAATCCCGTTTCCAACGAAGGCATCTAAGAGGTCCAAATATCCACTTGCAGACTTTACAAACACAGGGTTTCCAGAATGCTGTATGAAAAGAAAGGTGAAACTCTGTGAGTTAAACACACACATCACTACGCAGTGTCTGGGAACGAGTTTGTCTTGTTTTTATACGAAGATATTTCCTTTTCTACCAATGGCATCGAAGCGCTTGAAATCTCCACTTGCAAATTCCACAAAAAGAGTGTTTCAAATCTGCTCTGTCTAAAGGAAGGTTGAACTCTGTGAGTTGCATACACACAACACAAAGAAGTTACTGAGAAATCTTCTGTCTAGCATAATATGAAGAAATCCCGTTTCCAACGAAGGCCTCAAAGAGGTCCGAATATCCACTGGCAGGCTTCACAAACAGAGTGTTTCCTAACTGCTCTGTGAAAAGAAAGGTTAAACTCTGTGAGTTGAACGCACACATCACAAAGGAGTTTCTGAGAATCATTCTGTCTAGTTTTTATACGAAGATATTTCCTTTTCTACCATTGACCTCAAAGCGGCTGAAATCTCCACTTGCAAATTCCAGAAAAACAGTGTTTCAAATCTGCTCTGTGTAAAGGATCGTTCAACTCTGTGAGTTGAATACACACAACACAAGGAAGTTACTGAGAATTCATCTGTCTAGCATAATATGAAGAAATCCCGTTTCCAACGAAGGCCTCAAAGAGGTCTGAATATCCACTTGCAGACTTTACAAACAGAGTGTTTCCTAACTGCTCTTTGAAAAGAAAGGTTAAACTCTGTGAGTTGAACGCACACATCACAAAACAGTTTCTGAGAATCATTCTGTCTAGTTTTTATACGAAGATATTTCCTTTTCTACCGTTGACCTCAAAGCGGCTGAATTCTCCACTTACAAATTCCACCAAAAGAGTGTCTCAAATCTGCTCTGTGTAAAGAATCATTCAACTCTGTGAGTTGAATGCACACAACACAAGGAAGTTACTGGGAATTCCTCTGTCTATCCTTACATGAAAAAACCCGTTTCCAACGAAGGCCTCTAAGAGGCCAAGATATCCACTTGCAGACTTTACAAACAGAGTGTTTCCAAACTGCTGAATGAAAAGAAAAGTTAAACTCTGTGAGTTGAACGCACACATCACAGAGCAGTTTCTGAGAAAGATTCTGTCTAGTTTTTATAGGAAAATATTTCCTTTTCTGCTTTTGGCCTCAAAGTGCTTGAAATCTCCACTTGCAAATTCCACAAAAAGAGTGTTTCAAATCTGCTCTGTCTAAAGGAAGGTTGAACTCTGTCAGTTGAATACACACAACACAAGGAAGTTACTGAGATTTCTTCTGTCTAGCATAATATGAAGAAATCCCGTTTCCAACGAAGGCCTCAAAGAGGTCCGAATATCCACTGGCAGGCTTCACAAACAGAGTGTTTCCTAACTGCTCTGTGAAAAGAAAGGTTAAACTCTGTGAGTTGAACGCACACATCACAAAGGAGTTTCTGAGAATCATTCTGTCTAGTTTTTATACGAAGATATTTCCTTTTCTACCATTGACCTCAAAGCGGCTGAAATCTCCACTTGCAAATTCCAGAAAAACAGTGTTTCAAATCTGCTCTGTGTAAAGGATCGTTCAACTCTGTGAGTTGAATACACACAACACAAGGAAGTTACTGAGAATTCATCTGTCTAGCATAATATGAAGAAATCCCGTTTCCAACGAAGGCCTCAAAGAGGTCTGAATATCCACTTGCAGACTTTACAAACAGAGTGTTTCCTAACTGCTCTTTGAAAAGAAAGGTTAAACTCTGTGAGTTGAAAGCACACATCACAAAACAGTTTCTGAGAATCATTCTGTCTAGTTTTTATACGAAGATATTTCCTTTTCTACCGTTGACCTCAAAGCGGCTGAATTCTCCACTTACAAATTCCACCAAAAGAGTGTCTCAAATCTGCTCTGTGTAAAGAATCATTCAACTCTGTGAGTTGAATGCACACAACACAAGGAAGTTACTGGGAATTCCTCTGTCTAACCTTACATGAAAAAACCCGTTTCCAACGAAGGCCTCTAAGAGGCCAAGATATCCACTTGCAGACTTTACAAACAGAGTGTTTCCAAACTGCTGAATGAAAAGAAAAGTTAAACTCTGTGAGTTGAACGCACACATCACAGAGCAGTTTCTGAGAATGATTCTGTCGGGTTTTTATACGAAGATATTTCCTTTTCTGCCTTTGGCCTCAAAGCGCTTGAAGTCTCCACTTGCAAATTGCAGAAAAAGAGTGTTTCGAATCTGCTCTGTCTAAAGGAAGGTTCAACTCTGTCAGTTGAATACACACAACACAAGGAAGTTACTGAGATTTCTTCTGTCTAGCGTTACATGAAAAAAACCCGTTTCCAACGAAGGCCTCAAAGAGGTCAAAATATCCACGTGCAGACTTTCCAAACAGAGTGTTTCCAAACTGCTGAATGAAAAGAAAGTTAAACTCTGTGAGTTGAACACACACATCACAGAGCAGTTTCTGAGAATGATTCTGTCTAGTTTTTATAGGAAAATATTTCCTTTTCTGCTTTTGGCCTCAAAGCGCTTGAAATCTCCACTTGCAAATTCCACAAAAAGAGACTTTCAAATCTGCTCTGTCTAAAGGAAGGTTCAACTCTGTCAGTTGAATACACACAACACAAAGAAGTTACTAAGAATTCTTCCCTCTAGCATTATATGAAGAAATCCCGTTTCCAACGAAGGCATCTAAGAGGTCCAAATATCCACTTGCAGACTTTACAAACACAGGGTTTCCAGAATGCTGTATGAAAAGAAAGGTTAAACTCTGTGAGTTAAACACACACATCACTACGCAGTGTCTGGGAACGAGTTTGTCTTGTTTTTATACGAAGATATTTCCTTTTCTACCATTGGCATCGAAGCGCTTGAAATCTCCACTTGCAAATTCCACAAAAAGAGTGTTTCAAATCTGCTCTGTCTAAAGGAAGGTTGAACTCTGTGAGTTGCATACACACAACACAAAGAAGTTACTGAGAAATCTTCTGTCTAGCATAATATGAAGAAATCCCGTTTCCAACGAAGGCCTCAAAGAGGTCCGAATATCCACTGGCAGGCTTCACAAACAGAGTGTTTCCTAACTGCTCTGTGAAAAGAAAGGTTAAACTCTGTGAGTTGAACGCACACATCACAAAGGAGTTTCTGAGAATCATTCTGTCCAGTTTTTATACGAAGATATTTCCTTTTCTACCATTGACCTCAAAGCGGCTGAAATCTCCACTTGCAAATTCCAGAAAAACAGTGTTTCAAATCTGCTCTGTGTAAAGGATCGTTCAACTCTGTGAGTTGAATACACACAACACAAGGAAGTTACTGAGAATTCATCTGTCTAGCATAATATGAAGAAATCCCGTTTCCAACGAAGGCTTCAAAGAGGTCTGAATATCCACTTGCAGACTTTACAAACAGAGTGTTTCCTAACTGCTGTTTGAAAAGAAAGGTTAAACTCTGTGAGTTGAACGCACACATCACAAAACAGTTTCTGAGAATCATTCTTTCTAGTTTTTATACGAAGATATTTCCTTTTCTACCGTTGACCTCAAAGCGGCTGAATTCTCCACTTACAAATTCCACCAAAAGAGTGTCTCAAATCTGCTCTGTGTAAAGAATCATTCAACTCTGTGAGTTGAATGCACACAACACAAGGAAGTTACTGGGAATTCCTCTGTCTAACCTTACATGAAAAAACCCGTTTCCAACGAAGGCCTCTAAGAGGCCAAGATATCCACTTGCAGACTTTACAAACAGAGTGTTTCCAAACTGCTAAATGAAAAGAAAAGTTAAACTCTGTGAGTTGAACGCACACATCACAGAGCAGTTTCTGAGAATGATTCTGTCGGGTTTTTATACGAAGATATTTCCTTTTCTGCCTTTGGCCTCAAAGCGCTTGAAGTCTCCACTTGCAAATTGCAGAAAAAGAGTGTTTCGAATCTGCTCTGTCTAAAGGAAGGTTCAACTCTGTCAGTTGAATACACACAACACAAGGAAGTTACTGAGATTTCTTCTGTCTAGCCTTACATGAAAAAAACCCGTTTCCAACGAAGGCCTCAAAGAGGTCAAAATATCCACGTGCAGACTTTCCAAACAGAGTGTTTCCAAACTGCTGAATGAAAAGAAAAGTTAAACTCTGTGAGTTGAACGCACACATCCCAGAGCAGTTTCTGAGAAAGATTCTGTCGAGTTTTTATAGGAAAATATTTCCTTTTCTGCTTTTGGCCTCAAAGCGCTTGAAATCTCCACTTGCAAATTCCACAAAAAGAGACTTTCAAATCTGCTCTGTCTAAAGGAAGGTTCAACTCTGTCAGTTGAATACACACAACACAAAGAAGTTACTAAGAATTCTTCCCTCTAGCATTATACGAAGAAATCCCGTTTCCAACGAAGGCATCTAAGAGGTCCAAATATCCACTTGCAGACTTTACAAACAGAGGGTTTCCAGAATGCTGTATGAAAAGAAAGGTTAAACTCAGTGAGTTAAACACACACATCACTACGCAGTGTCTGGGAACGAGTTTGTCTTGTTTTTATACGAAGATATTTCCTTTTCTACCATTGGCATCGAAGCGCTTGAAATCTCCACTTGCAAATTCCACAAAAAGAGTGTTTCAAATCTGCTCTGTCTAAAGGAAGGTTGAACTCTGTGAGTTGCATACACACAACACAAAGAAGTTACTGAGAAATCTTCTGAATAGCATAATATGAAGAAATCCCGTTTCCAACGAAGGCCTCAAAGAGGTCCGAATATCCACTGGCAGGCTTCACAAACAGAGTGTTTCCTAACTGCTCTGTGAAAAGAAAGGTTAAACTCTGTGAGTTGAACGCACACATCACAAAGGAGTTTCTGAGAATCATTCTGTCTAGTTTTTATACGAAGATATTTCCTTTTCTACCATTGACCTCAAAGCGGCTGAAATCTCCACTTGCAAATTCCAGAAAAACAGTGTTTCAAATCTGCTCTGTGTAAAGGATCGTTCAACTCTGTGAGTTGAATACACACAACACAAGGAAGTTACTGAGAATTCATCTGTCTAGCATAATATGAAGAAATCCCGTTTCCAACGAAGGCCTCAAAGAGGTCTGTATATCCACTTGCAGACTTTACAAACAGAGTGTTTCCTAACTGCTCTTTGAAAAGAAAGGTTAAACTCTGTGAGTTGAACGCACACATCACAAAACAGTTTCTGATAATCATTCTGTCTAGTTTTTATACGAAGATATTTCCTTTTCTACCGTTGACCTCAAAGCGGCTGAATTCTCCACTTACAAATTCCACCAAAAGAGTGTCTCAAATCTGCTCTGTGTAAAGAATCATTCAACTCTGTGAGTTGAATGCACACAACACAAGGAAGTTACTGGGAATTCCTCTGTCTATCCTTACATGAAAAAACCCGTTTCCAACGAAGGCCTCTAAGAGGCCAAGATATCCACTTGCAGACTTTACAAACAGAGTGTTTCCAAACTGCTGAATGAAAAGAAAAGTTAAACTCTGTGAGTTGAACGCACACATCACAGAGCAGTTTCTGAGAGTGATTCTGTCGGGTTTTTATACGAAGATATTTCCTTTTCTGCCTTTGGCCTCAAAGCGCTTGAAGTCTCCACTTGCAAATTGCAGAAAAAGAGTGTTTCGAATCTGCTCTGTCTAAAGGAAGGTTCAACTCTGTCAGTTGAATACACACAACACAAGGAAGTTACTGAGATTTCTTCTGTCTAGCCTTACATGAAAAAAACCCGTTTCCAACGAAGGCCTCAAAGAGGTCAAAATATCCACGGGCAGACTTTCCAAACAGAGTGTTTCCAAACTGCTGAATGAAAAGAAAAGTTAAACTCTGTGAGTTGAACGCACACATCCCAGAGCAGTTTCTGAGAAAGATTCTGTCTAGTTTTTATAGGAAAATATTTCCTTTTCTGCTTTTGGCCTCAAAGCGCTTGAAATCTCCACTTGCAAATTCCACAAAAAGAGACTTTCAAATCTGCTCTGTCTAAAGGAAGGTTCAACTCTGTCAGTTGAATACACACAACACAAAGAAGTTACTAAGAATTCTTCCCTCTAGCATTATATGAAGAAATCCCGTTTCCAACGAAGGCATCTAAGAGGTCCAAATATCCACTTGCAGACTTTACAAACACAGGGTTTCCAGAATGCTGTATGAAAAGAAAGGTGAAACTCTGTGAGTTAAACACACACATCACTACGCAGTGTCTGGGAACGAGTTTGTCTTGTTTTTATACGAAGATATTTCCTTTTCTACCATTGGCATCGATGCGCTTGAAATTTCCACTTGCAAATTCCACAAAAAGAGTGTTTCAAATCTGCTCTGTCTAAAGGAAGGTTGAACTCTGTGAGTTGCATACACACAACACAAAGAAGTTACTGAGAAATCTTCTGTCTAGCAAAATATGAAGAAATCCCGTTTCCAACGAAGGCCTCAAAGAGGTCCGAATATCCACTGGCAGGCTTCACAAACAGAGTGTTTCCTAACTGCTCTGTGAAAAGAAAGGTTAAACTCTGTGAGTTGAACGCACACATCACAAAGGAGTTTCTGAGAATCATTCTGTCCAGTTTTTATACGAAGATATTTCCTTTTCTACCATTGACCTCAAAGCGGCTGAAATCTCCACTTGCAAATTCCAGAAAAAGTGTTTCAAATCTGCTCTGTGTAAAGGATCGTTCAACTCTGTGAGTTGAATACACACAACACAAGGAAGTTACTGAGAATTCATCTGTCTAGCATAATATGATGAAATCCCGTTTCCAACGAAGGCTTCAAAGAGGTCTGAATATCCACTTGCAGACTTTACAAACAGAGTGTTTCCTAACTGCTCTTTGAAAAGAAAGGTTAAACTCTGTGAGTTGAACGCACACATCACAAAACAGTTTCTGAGAATCATTCTTTCTAGTTTTTATACGAAGATATTTCCTTTTCTACCGTTGACCTCAAAGCGGCTGAATTCTCCACTTACAAATTCCACCAAAAGTGTGTCTCAAATCTGCTCTGTGTAAAGAATCATTCAACTCTGTGAGTTGAATGCACACAACACAAGGAAGTTACTGGGAATTCCTCTGTCTAACCTTACATGAAAAAACGCGTTTCCAACGAAGGCCTCTAAGAGGCCAAGATATCCACTTGCAGACTTTACAAACAGAGTGTTTCCAAACTGCTGAATGAAAAGAAAAGTTAAACTCTGTGAGTTGAACGCACACATCACAGAGCAGTTTCTGAGAATGATTCTGTCGGGTTTTTATACGAAGATATTTCCTTTTCTGCCTTGGCCTCAAAGCGCTTGAAGTCTCCACTTGCAAATTGCAGAAAAAGAGCGTTTCGAATCTGCTCTGTCTAAAGGAAGGTTCAACTCTGTCAGTTAAATACACACAACACAAGGAAGTTACTGAGATTTCTTCTGTCTAGCCTTACATGAAAAAAACCCGTTTCCAACGAAGGCCTCAAAGAGGTCAAAATATCCACGTGCAGACTTTCCAAACAGAGTGTTTCCAAACTGCTGAATGAAAAGAAAGTTAAACTCTGTGAGTTGAACACACACATCACAGAGCAGTTTCTGAGAATGATTCTCTCTAGTTTTTATAGGAAAATATTTCCTTTTCTGCTTTTGGCCTCAAAGCGCTTGAAATCTCCACTTGCAAATTCCACAAAAAGAGACTTTCAAATCTGCTCTGTCTAAAGGAAGGTTCAACTCTGTCAGTTGAATACACACAACACAAAGAAGTTACTAAGAATTCTTCCCTCTAGCATTATATGAAGAAATCCCGTTTCCAACGAAGGCATCTAAGAGGTCCAAATATCCACTTGCAGACTTTACAAACAGAGGGTTCCCAGAATGCTGTATGAAAAGAAAGGTTAAACTCTGTGAGTTAAACACACACATCACTACGCAGTGTGCTGGGAACGAGTTTGTCTTGTTTTTATACGAAGATATTTCCTTTTCTACCATTGGCATCGATGCGCTTGAAATTTCCACTTGCAAATTCCACAAAAAGAGTGTTTCAAATCTGCTCTGTGTAAAGGAAGGTTGAACTCTGTGAGTTGCATACACACAACACAAAGAAGTTACTGAGAAATCTTCTGTCTAGCATAATATGAAGAAATCCCGTTTCCAACGAAGGCCTCAAAGAGGTCCGAATATCCACTGGCAGGCTTCACAAACAGAGTGTTTCCTAACTGCTCTGTGAAAAGAAAGGTTAAACTCTGTGAGTTGAACGCACACATCACAAAGGAGTTTCTGAGAATCATTCTGTCCAGTTTTTATACGAAGATATTTCCTTTTCTACCATTGACCTCAAAGCGGCTGAAATCTCCACTTGCAAATTCCAGAAAAAGTGTTTCAAATCTGCTCTGTGTAAAGGATCGTTCAACTCTGTGAGTTGAATACACACAACACAAGGAAGTTACTGAGAATTCATCTGTCTAGCATAATATGATGAAATCCCGTTTCCAACGAAGGCTTCAAAGAGGTCTGAATATCCACTTGCAGACTTTACAAACAGAGTGTTTCCTAACTGCTCTTTGAAAAGAAAGGTTAAACTCTGTGAGTTGAACGCACACATCACAAAACAGTTTCTGAGAATCATTCTTTCTAGTTTTTATACGAAGATATTTCCTTTTCTACCGTTGACCTCAAAGCGGCTGAATTCTCCACTTACAAATTCCACCAAAAGTGTGTCTCAAATCTGCTCTGTGTAAAGAATCATTCAACTCTGTGAGTTGAATGCACACAACACAAGGAAGTTACTGGGAATTCCTCTGTCTAACCTTACATGAAAAAACGCGTTTCCAACGAAGGCCTCTAAGAGGCCAAGATATCCACTTGCAGACTTTACAAACAGAGTGTTTCCAAACTGCTGAATGAAAAGAAAAGTTAAACTCTGTGAGTTGAACGCACACATCACAGAGCAGTTTCTGAGAATGATTCTGTCGGGTTTTTATACGAAGATATTTCTTTTTCTGCCTTTGGCCTCAAAGCGCTTGAAGTCTCCACTTGCAAATTGCAGAAAAAGAGCGTTTCGAATCTGCTCTGTCTAAAGGAAGGTTCAACTCTGTCAGTTGAATACACACAACACAAGGAAGTTACTGAGATTTCTTCTGTCTAGCCTTACATGAAAAAAACCCGTTTCCAACGAAGGCCTCAAAGAGGTCAAAATATCCACGTGCAGACTTTCCAAACAGAGTGTTTCCAAACTGCTGAATGAAAAGAAAGTTAAACTCTGTGAGTTGAACACACACATCACAGAGCAGTTTCTGAGAATGATTCTCTCTAGTTTTTATAGGAAAATATTTCCTTTTCTGCTTTTGGCCTCAAAGCGCTTGAAATCTCCACTTGCAAATTCCACAAAAAGAGACTTTCAAATCTGCTCTGTCTAAAGGAAGGTTCAACTCTGTCAGTTGAATACACACAACACAAAGAAGTTACTAAGAATTCTTCCCTCTAGCATTATATGAAGAAATCCCGTTTCCAACGAAGGCCTCAAAGAGGTCTGAATATCCACTTGCAGACTTTACAGAGTGTTTCCTAACTGCTCTTTGAAAAGAAAGGTTAAACTCTGTGAGTTGAACGCACACATCACAAAACAGTTTCTGAGAATCATTCTGTCTAGTTTTTATACGAAGGTATTTCCTTTTCTACCGTTGACCTCAAAGCGGCTGAATTCTCCACTTACAAATTCCACCCAAAGAGTGTCTCAAATCTGCTCTGTGTAAAGAATCATTCAACTCTGTGAGTTGAATGCACACAACACAAGGAAGTTACTGGGAATTCCTCTGTCTAACCTTACATGAAAAAACCCGTTTCCAACGAAGGCCTCTAAGAGGCCAAGATATCCACTTGCAGACTTTACAAACAGAGTGTTTCCAAACTGCTGAATGAAAAGAAAAGTTAAACTCTGTGAGTTGAACGCACACATCACAGAGCAGTTTCTGAGAATGATTCTGTCGGGTTTTTATACGAAGATATTTCCTTTTCTGCCTTTGGCCTCAAAGCGCTTGAAGTCTCCACTTGCAAATTGCAGAAAAAGAGTGTTTCGAATCTGCTCTGTCTAAAGGAAGGTTCAACTCTGTCAGTTGAATACACACAACACAAGGAAGTTACTGAGATTTCTTCTGTCTAGCCTTACATGAAAAAAACCCGTTTCCAACGAAGGCCTCAAAGAGGTCAAAATATCCACGTGCAGACTTTCCAAACAGAGTGTTTCCAAACTGCTGAATGAAAAGAAAAGTTAAACTCTGTGAGTTGAACGCACACATCACAGAGCAGTTTCTGAGAAAGATTCTGTCGAGTTTTTATAGGAAAATATTTCCTTTTCTGCTTTTGGACTCAAAGCGCTTGAAATCTCCACTTGCAAATTCCACAAAAAGAGACTTTCAAATCTGCTCTGTCTAAAGGAAGGTTCAACTCTGTCAGTTGAATACACACAACACAAAGAAGTTACTAAGAATTCTTCCCTCTAGCATTATATGAAGAAATCCCGTTTCCAACGAAGGCATCTAAGAGGTCCAAATATCCACTTGCAGACTTTACAAACACAGGGTTTCCAGAATGCTGTATGAAAAGAAAGGTGAAACTCTGTGAGTTAAACACACACATCACTACGCAGTGTCTGGGAACGAGTTTGTCTTGTTTTTATACGAAGATATTTCCTTTTCTACCATTGGCATCGAAGCGCTTGAAATCTCCACTTGCAAATTCCACAAAAAGAGTGTTTCAAATCTGCTCTGTCTAAAGGAAGGTTGAACTCTGTGAGTTGCATACACACAACACAAAGAAGTTACTGAGAAATCTTCTGTCTAGCATAATATGAAGAAATCCCGTTTCCAGCGAAGGCCTCAAAGAGGTCCGAATATCCACTGGCAGGCTTCACAAACAGAGTGTTTCCTAACTGCTCTGTGAAAAGAAAGGTTAAACTCTCTGAGTTGAACGCACACATCACAAAGGAGTTTCTGAGAATCATTCTGTCTAGTTTTTATACGAAGATATTTCCTTTTCTACCATTGACCTCAAAGCGGCTGAAATCTCCACTTGCAAATTCCAGAAAAACAGTGTTTCAAATCTGCTCTGTGTAAAGGATCGTTCAACTCTGTGAGTTGAATACACACAACACAAGGAAGTTACTGAGAATTCATCTGTCTAGCATAATATGAAGAAATCCCGTTTCCAACGAAGGCCTCAAAGAGGTCTGAATATCCACTTGCAGACTTTACAAACAGAGTGTTTCCTAACTGCTCTTTGAAAAGAAAGGTTAAACTCTGTGAGTTGAACGCACACATCACAAAACAGTTTCTGAGAATCATTCTGTCTAGTTTTTATACGAAGATATTTCCTTTTCTACCGTTGACCTCAAAGCGGCTGAATTCTCCACTAACAAATTCCACCAAAAGAGTGTCTCAAATCTGCTCTGTGTAAAGAATCATTCAACTCTGTGAGTTGAATGCACACAACACAAGGAAGTTACTGGGAATTCCTCTGTCTAACCTTACATGAAAAAACCCGTTTCCAACGAAGGCCTCTAAGAGGCCAAGATATCCACTTGCAGACTTTACAAACAGAGTGTTTCCAAACTGCTGAATGAAAAGAAAAGTTAAACTCTGTGAGTTGAACGCACACATCACAGAGCAGTTTCTGACAATGATTCTGTCGGGTTTTTATACGAAGATATTTCCTTTTCTGCCTTTGGCCTCAAAGCGCTTGAAGTCTCCACTTGCAAATTGCAGAAAAAGAGTGTTTCGAATCTGCTCTGTCTAAAGGAAGGTTCAACTCTGTCAGTTGAATACACACAACACAAGGAAGTTACTGAGATTTCTTCTGTCTAGCCTTACATGAAAAAAACCCGTTTCCAACGAAGGCCTCAAAGAGGTCAAAATATCCACGTGCAGACTTTCCAAACAGAATGTTTCCAAACTGCTGAATGAAAAGAAAGTTAAACTCTGTGAGTTGAACACACACATCACAGAGCAGTTTCTGAGAATGATTCTGTCTAGTTTTTATAGGAAAATATTTCCTTTTCTGCTTTTGGCCTCAAAGCGCTTGAAATCTCCACTTGCAAATTCCACAAAAAGAGACTTTCAAATCTGCTCTGTCTAAAGGAAGGTTCAACTCTGTCAGTTGAATACACACAACACAAAGAAGTTACTAAGAATTCTTCCCTCTAGCATTATATGAAGAAATCCCGTTTCCAACGAAGGCATCTAAGAGGTCCAAATATGCACTTGCAGACTTTACAAACAGAGGGTTTCCAGAATGCCGTATGAAAAGAAAGGTTAAACTCTGTGAGTTAAACACACACATCACTACGCAGTGTCTGGGAACGAGTTCGTCTTGTTTTTATACGAAGATATTTCCTTTTCTACCATTGGCATCGAAGCGCTTGAAATCTCCACTTGCAAATTCCACAAAAAGAGTGTTTCAAATCTGCTCTGTCTAAAGGAAGGTTGAACTCTGTGAGTTGCATACACACAACACAAAGAAGTTACTGAGAAATCTTCTGTCTACAATAATATGAAGAAATCCCGTTTCCAACGAAGGCCTCAAAGAGGTCCGAATATCCACTGGCAGGCTTCACAAACAGAGTGTTTCCTAACTGCTCTGTGAAAAGAAAGGTTAAACTCTGTGAGTTGAACGCACACATCACAAAGGAGTTTCTGAGAATCATTCTGTCTAGTTTTTATACGAAGATATTTCCTTTTCTACCATTGACCTCAAAGCGGCTGAAATCTCCACTTGCAAATTCCAGAAAAACAGTGTTTCAAATCTGCTCTGTGTAAAGGATCGTTCAACTCTGTGAGTTGAATACACACAACACAAGGAAGTTACTGAGAATTCATCTGTCTAGCATAATATGAAGAAATCCCGTTTCCAACGAAGGCCTCAAAGAGGTCTGAATATCCACTTGCAGACTTTACAAACAGAGTGTTTCCTAACTGCTCTTTGAAAAGAAAGGTTAAACTCTGTGAGTTGAACGCACACATCACAAAACAGTTTCTGAGAATCATTCTGTCTAGTTTTTATACGAAGATATTTCCTTTTCTACCGTTGACCTCAAAGCGGCTGAATTCTCCACTTACAAATTCCACCAAAAGAGTGTCTCAAATCTGCTCTGTGTAAAGAATCATTCAACTCTGTGAGTTGAATGCACACAACACAAGGAAGTTACTGGGAATTCCTCTGTCTATCCTTACATGAAAAAACCCGTTTCCAACGAAGGCCTCTAAGAGGCCAAGATATCCACTTGCAGACTTTACAAACAGAGTGTTTCCAAACTGCTGAATGAAAAGAAAAGTTAAACTCTGTGAGTTGAACGCAGACATCACAGAGCAGTTTCTGAGAATGATTCTGTCGGGTTTTTATACGAAGATATTTCCTTTTCTGCCTTTGGCCTCAAAGCGCTTGAAGTCTCCACTTGCAAATTGCAGAAAAAGAGTGTTTCGAATCTGCTCTGTCTAAAGGAAGGTTCAACTCTGTCAGTTGAATACACACAACACAAGGAAGTTACTGAGATTTCTTCTGTCTAGCCTTACATGAAAAAAACCCGTTTCCAACGAAGGCCTCAAAGAGGTCAAAATATCCACGTGCAGACTTTCCAAACAGAGTGTTTCCAAACTGCTGAATGAAAAGAAAAGTTAAACTCTGTGAGTTGAACGCACACATCCCAGAGCAGTTTCTGAGAAAGATTCTGTCGAGGTTTTATAGGAAAATATTTCCTTTTCTGCTTTTGGCCTCAAAGCGCTTGAAATCTCCACTTGCAAATTCCACAAAAAGAGACTTTCAAATCTGCTCTGTCTAAAGGAAGGTTCAACTCTGTCAGTTGAATACACACAACACAAAGAAGTTACTAAAAATTCTTCCCTCTAGCATTATATGAAGAAATCCCGTTTCCAACGAAGGCATCTAAGAGGTCCAAATATCGACTTGCAGACTTTACAAACAGAGGGTTTCCAGAATGCTGTATGAAAAGAAAGGTGAAACTCTGTGAGTTAAACACACACATCACTACGCAGTGTCTGGGAACGAGTTTGTCTTGTTTTTATACGAAGATATTTCCTTTTCTACCATTGGCATCGAAGCGCTTGAAATCTCCACTTGCAAATTCCACAAAAAGAGTGTTTCAAATCTGCTCTGTCTAAAGGAAGGTTGAACTCTGTGAGTTGCATACACACAACACAAAGAAGTTACTGAGAAATCTTCTGTCTAGCATAATATGAAGAAATCCCGTTTCCAACGAAGGCCTGAAAGAGGTCCGAATATCCACTGGCAGGCTTCACAAACAGAGTGTTTCCTAACTGCTCTGTGAAAAGAAAGGTTAAACTCTGTGAGTTGAACGCACACATCACAAAGGAGTTTCTGAGAATCATTCTGTCTAGTTTTTATACGAAGATATTTCCTTTTCTACCATTGACCTCAAAGCGGCTGAAATCTCCACTTGCAAATTCCAGAAAAACAGTGTTTCAAATCTGCTCTGTGTAAAGGATCGTTCAACTCTGTGAGTTGAATACACACAACACAAGGAAGTTACTGAGAATTCATCTGTCTAGCATAATATGAAGAAATCCCGTTTCCAACGAAGGCTTCAAAGAGGTCTGAATATCCACTTGCAGACTTTACAAACAGAGTGTTTCCTAACTGCTCTTTGAAAAGAAAGGTTAAACTCTGTGAGTTGAACGCACACATCACAAAACAGTTTCTGAGAATCATTCTTTCTAGTTTTTATACGAAGATATTTCCTTTTCTACCGTTGACCTCAAAGCGGCTGAATTCTCCACTTACAAATTCCACCAAAAGAGTGTCTCAAATCTGCTCTGTGTAAAGAATCATTCAACTCTGTGAGTTGAATGCACACAACACAAGGAAGTTACTGGGAATTCCTCTGTCTAACCTTACATGAAAAAACCCGTTTCCAACGAAGGCCTCTAAGAGGCCAAGATATCCACTTGCAGACTTTACAAACAGAGTGTTTCCAAACTGCTGAATGAAAAGAAAAGTTAAACTCTGTGAGTTGAACGCACACATCACAGAGCAGTTTCTGAGAATGATTCTGTCGGGTTTTTATACGAAGATATTTCCTTTTCTGCCTTTGGCCTCAAAGCGCTTGAAGTCTCCACTTGCAAATTGCAGAAAAAGAGTGTTTCGAATCTGCTCTGTCTAAAGGAAGGTTCAACTCTGTCAGTTGAATACACACAACACAAGGAAGTTACTGAGATTTCTTCTGTCTAGCCTTACATGAAAAAAACCCGTTTCCAACGAAGGCCTCAAAGAGGTCAAAATATCCACGTGCAGACTTTCCAAACAGAGTGTTTCCAAACTGCTGAATGAAAAGAAAAGTTAAACTCTGTGAGTTGAACGCACACATCCCAGAGCAGTTTCTGAGAAAGATTCTGTCTAGTTTTTATAGGAAAATATTTCCTTTTCTGCTTTTGGCCTCAAAGCGCTTGAAATCTCCACTTGCAAATTCCACAAAAAGAGACTTTCAAATCTGCTCTGTCTAAAGGAAGGTTCAACTCTGTCAGTTGAATACACACAACACAAAGAAGTTACTAAGAATTCTTCCCTCTAGCATTATATGAAGAAATCCCGTTTCCAAAGAAGGCATCTAAGAGGTCCAAATATCCACTTGCAGACTTTACAAACAGAGGGTTTCCAGAATGCTGTATGAAAAGAAAGGTGAAACTCTGTGAGTTAAACACACACATCACTACGCAGTGTCTGGGAACGAGTTTGTCTTGTTTTTATACGAAGATATTTCCTTTTCTACCATTGGCATCGAAGCGCTTGAAATCTCCACTTCCAAATTCCACAAAAAGAGTGTTTCAAATCTGCTCTGTCTAAAGGAAGGTTGAACTCTGTGAGTTGCATACACACAACCCAAAGAAGTTACTGATAAATCTTCTGTCTAGCATAATATGAAGAAATCCCGTTTCCAACGAAGGCCTCAAAGAGGTCCGAATATCCACTGGCAGGCTTCACAGAGTGTTTCCTAACTGCTCTGTGAAAAGAAAGGTTAAACTCTGTGAGTTGAACGCACACATCACAAAGGAGTTTCTGAGAATCATTCTGTCTAGTTTTTATACGAAGATATTTCCTTTTCTACCATTGACCTCAAAGCGGCTGAAATCTCCACTTGCAAATTCCAGAAAAACAGTGTTTCAAATCTGCTCTGTGTAAAGGATCGTTCAACTCTGTGAGTTGAATACACACAACACAAGGAAGTTACTGAGAATTCATCTGTCTAGCATAATATGAAGAAATCCCGTTTCCAACGAAGGCCTCAAAGAGGTCTGAATATCCACTTGCAGACTTTACAAACAGAGTGTTTCCTAACTGCTCTTTGAAAAGAAAGGTTAAACTCTGTGAGTTGAACGCACACATCACAAAACAGTTTCTGAGAATCATTCTGTCTAGTTTTTATACGAAGATATTTCCTTTTCTACCGTTGACCTCAAAGCGGCTGAATTCTCCACTTACAAATTCCACCAAAAGAGTGTCTCAAATCTGCTCTGTGTAAAGAATCATTCAACTCTGTGAGTTGAATGCACACAACACAAGGAAGTTACTGGGAATTCCTCTGTCTAACCTTACATGAAAAAACCCGTTTCCAATGAAGGCCTCTAAGAGGCCAAGATATCCACTTGCAGACTTTACAAACAGAGTGTTTCCAAACTGCTGAATGAAAAGAAAAGTTAAACTCTGTGAGTTGAACGCACACATCACAGAGCAGTTTCTGAGAATGATTCTGTCGGGTTTTTATACGAAGATATTTCCTTTTCTGCCTTTGGCCTCAAAGCGCTTGAAGTCTCCACTTGCAAATTGCAGAAAAAGAGTGTTTCGAATCTGCTCTGTCTAAAGGAAGGTTCAACTCTGTCAGTTGAATACACACAACACAAGGAAGTTACTGAGATTTCTTCTGTCTAGCCTTACATGAAAAAAACCCGTTTCCAACGAAGGCCTCAAAGAGGTCAAAATATCCACGTGCAGACTTTCCAAACAGAGTGTTTCCAAACTGCTGAATGAAAAGAAAAGTTAAACTCTGTGAGTTGAACGCACACATCCCAGAGCAGTTTCTGAGAAAGATTCTGTCTAGTTTTTATAGGAAAATATTTCCTTTTCTGCTTTTGGCCTCAAAGCGCTTGAAATCTCCACTTGCAAATTCCACAAAAAGAGACTTTCAAATCTGCTCTGTCTAAAGGAAGGTTCAACTCTGTCAGTTGAATACACACAACACAAAGAAGTTACTAAGAATTCTTCCCTCTAGCATTATATGAAGAAATCCCGTTTCCAACGAAGGCATCTAAGAGGTCCAAATATCCACTTGCAGACTTTACAAACAGAGGGTTTCCAGAATGCTGTATGAAAAGAAAGGTGAAACTCTGTGAGTTAAACACACACATCACTACGCAGTGTCTGGGAACGAGTTTGTCTTGTTTTTATACGAAGATATTTCCTTTTCTACCATTGGCATCGAAGCGCTTGAAATCTCCACTTGCAAATTCCACAAAAAGAGTGTTTCAAATCTGCTCTGTCTAAAGGAAGGTTGAACTCTGTGAGTTGCATACACACAACACAAAGAAGTTACTGAGAAATCTTTTGTCTAGCATAATATGAAGAAATCCCGTTTCCAACGAAGGCCTCAAAGAGGTCCGAATATCCACTGGCAGGCTTCACAAACAGAGTGTTTCCTAACTGCTCTGTGAAAAGAAAGGTTAAACTCTGTGAGTTGAACGCAAACATCACAAAGGAGTTTCTGAGAATCATTCTGTCTAGTTTTTATACGAAGATATTTCCTTTTCTACCATTGACCTCAAAGCGGCTGAAATCTCCACTTGCAAATTCCAGAAAAACAGTGTTTCAAATCTGCTCTGTGTAAAGGATCGTTCAACTCTGTGAGTTGAATACACACAACACAAGGAAGTTACTGAGAATTCATCTGTCTAGCATAATATGAAGAAACCCCGTTTCCAACGAAGGCCTCAAAGAGGTCTGAATATCCACTTGCAGACTTTACAAACAGAGTGTTTCCTAACTGCTCTTTGAAAAGAAAGGTTAAACTCTGTGAGTTGAACGCACACATCACAAAACAGTTTCTGAGAATCATTCTGTCTAGTTTTTATACGAAGATATTTCCTTTTCTACCGTTGACCTCAAAGCAGCTGAATTCTCCACTTACAAATTCCACCAAAAGAGTGTCTCAAATCTGCTCTGTGTAAAGAATCATTCAACTCTGTGAGTTGAATGCACACAACACAAGGAAGTTACTGGGAATTCCTCTGTCTAACCTTACATGAAAAAACCCGTTTCCAACGAAGGCCTCTAAGAGGCCAAGATATCCACTTGCAGACTTTACAAACAGAGTGTTTCCAAACTGCTGAATGAAAAGAAAAGTTAAACTCTGTGAGTTGAACGCACACATCACAGAGCAGTTTCTGAGAATGATTCTGTCGGGTTTTTATACGAAGATATTTCCTTTTCTGCCTTTGGCCTCAAAGCGCTTGAAGTCTCCACTTGCAAATTGCAGAAAAAGAGTGTTTCGAATCTGCTCTGTCTAAAGGAAGGTTCAACTCTGTCAGTTGAATACACACAACACAAGGAAGTTACTGAGATTTCTTCTGTCTAGCCTTACATGAAAAAAACCCGTTTCCAACGAAGGCTTCAAAGAGGTCAAAATATCCACGTGCAGACTTTCCAAACAGAGTGTTTCCAAACTGCTGAATGAAAAGAAAAGTTAAACTCTGTGAGTTGAACGCACACATCCCAGAGCAGTTTCTGAGAAAGATTCTGTCGAGTTTTTATAGGAAAATATTTCCTTTTCTGCTTTTGGCCTCAAAGCGCTTGAAATCTCCACTTGCAAATTCCACAAAAAGAGACTTTCAAATCTGCTCTGTCTAAAGGAAGGTTCAACTCTGTCAGTTGAATACACACAACACAAAGAAGTTACTAAGAATTCTTCCCTCTAGCATTATATGAAGAAATCCCGTTTCCAACGAAGGCATCTAAGAGGTCCAAATATCCACTTGCAGACTTTACAAACACAGGGTTTCCAGAATGCTGTATGAAAAGAAAGGTTAAACTCTGTGAGTTAAACACACACATCACTACGCAGTGTCTGGGAACGAGTTTGTCTTGTTTTTATACGAAGATATTTCCTTTTCTACCATTGGCATCGAAGCGCTTGAAATCTCCACTTGCAAATTCCACAAAAAGAGTGTTTCAAATCTGCTCTGTCTAAAGGAAGGTTGAACTCTGTGAGTTGCATACACACAACACAAAGAAGTTACTGAGAAATCTTCTGTCTAGCATAATATGAAGAAATCCCGTTTCCAACGAAGGCCTCAAAGAGGTCCGAATATCCCCTGGCAGGCTTCACAAACAGAGTGTTTCCTAACTGCTCTGTGAAAAGAAAGGTTAAACTCTGTGAGTTGAACGCACACATCACAAAGGAGTTTCTGAGAATCATTCTGTCTAGTTTTATACGAAGATATTTCCTTTTCTACCATTGACCTCAAAGCGGCTGAAATCTCCACTTGCAAATTCCAGAAAAACAGTGTTTCAAATCTGCTCTGTGTAAAGGATCGTTCAACTCTGTGAGTTGAATACACACAACACAAGGAAGTTACTGAGAATTCATCTGTCTAGCATAATATGAAGAAATCCCGTTTCCAACGAAGGCCTCAAAGAGGTCTGAATATCCACTTGCAGACTTTACAAACAGAGTGTTTCCTAACTGCTCTTTGAAAAGAAAGGTTAAACTCTGTGAGTTGAACGCACACATCACAAAACAGTTTCTGAGAATCATTCTGTCTAGTTTTTATACGAAGATATTTCCTTTTCTACCGTTGACCTCAAAGCGGCTGAATTCTCCACTTACAAATTCCACCAAAAGAGTGTCTCAAATCTGCTCTGTGTAAAGAATCATTCAACTCTGTGAGTTGAATGCACACAACACAAGGAAGTTACTGGGAATTCCTCTGTCTATCCTTACATGAAAAAACCCGCTTCCAACGAAGGCCTCTAAGAGGCCAAGATATCCACTTGCAGACTTTACAAACAGAGTGTTTCCAAACTGCTGAATGAAAAGAAAAGTTAAACTCTGTGAGTTGAACGCACACATCACAGAGCAGTTTCTGAGAATGATTCTGTCGGGTTTTTATACGAAGATATTTCCTTTTCTGCCTTTGGCCTCAAAGCGCTTGAAGTCTCCACTTGCAAATTGCAGAAAAAGAGTGTTTCGAATCTGCTCTGTCTAAAGGAAGGTTCAACTCTGTCAGTTGAATACACACAACACAAGGAAGTTACTGAGATTTCTTCTGTCTAGCCTTACATGAAAAAAACCCGTTTCCAACGAAGGCCTCAAAGAGGTCAAAATATCCACGTGCAGACTTTCCAAACAGAGTGTTTCCAAACTGCTGAATGAAAAGAAAAGCTAAACTCTGTGAGTTGAACGCACACATCCCAGAGCAGTTTCTGAGAAAGATTCTGTCTAGTTTTTATTAGAAAATATTTCCTTTTCTGCTTTTGGCCTCAAAGCGCTTGAAATCTCCACTTGCAAATTCCACAAAAAGAGACTTTCAAATCTGCTCTGTCTAAAGGAAGGTTCAACTCTGTCAGTTGAATACACACAACACAAAGAAGTTACTAAGAATTCTTCCCTCTAGCATTATATGAAGAAATCCCGTTTCCAACGAAGGCATCTAAGAGGTCCAAATATCCACTTGCAGACTTTACAAACAGAGGGTTTCCAGAATGCTGTATGAAAAGAAAGGTTAAACTCTGTGAGTTAAACACACACATCACTACGCAGTGTCTGGGAACGAGTTTGTCTTGTTTTTATACGAAGATATTTCCTTTTCTACCATTGGCATCGAAGCGCTTGAAATCTCCACTTGCAAATTCCACAAAAAGAGTGTTTCAAATCTGCTCTGTCTAAAGGAAGGTTGAACTCTGTGAGTTGCATACACACAACACAAAGAAGTTACTGAGAAATCTTCTGTCTAGCATAATATGAAGAAATCCCGTTTCCAACGAAGGCCTCAAAGAGGTCCGAATATCCACTGGCAGGCTTCACAAACAGAGTGTTTCCTAACTGCTCTGTGAAAAGAAAGGTTAAACTCTGTGAGTTGAACGCACACATCACAAAGGAGTTTCTGAGAATCATTCTGTCTAGTTTTTATACGAAGATATTTCCTTTTCTACCATTGACCTCAAAGCGGCTGAAATCTCCACTTGCAAATTCCAGAAAAACAGTGTTTCAAATCTGCTCTGTGTAAAGGATCGTTCAACTCTGTGAGTTGAATACACACAACACAAGGAAGTTACTGAGAATTCATCTGTCTAGCATAATATGAAGAAATCCCGTTTCCAACGAAGGCCTCAAAGAGGTCTGAATATCCACTTGCAGACTTTACAAACAGAGTGTTTCCTAACTGCTCTCTGAAAAGAAAGGTTAAACTCTGTGAGTTGAACGCACACATCACAAAACAGTTTCTGAGAATCATTCTGTCTAGTTTTTATACGAAGATATTTCCTTTTCTACCGTTGACCTCAAAGCGGCTGAATTCTCCACTTATAAATTCCACCAAAAGAGTGTCTCAAATCTGCTCTGTGTAAAGAATCATTCAACTCTGTGAGTTGAATGCACACAACACAAGGAAGTTACTGGGAATTCCTCTGTCTAACCTTACATGAAAAAACCCGTTTCCAACGAAGGCCTCTAAGAGGCCAAGATATCCACTTGCAGACTTTACAAACAGAGTGTTTCCAAACTGCTGAATGAAAAGAAAAGTTAAACTCTGTGAGTTGAACGCACACATCACAGAGCAGTTTCTGAGAATGATTCTGTCGGGTTTTTATACGAAGATATTTCCTTTTCTGCCTTTGGCCTCAAAGCGCTTGAAGTCTCCACTTGCAAATTGCAGAAAAAGAGTGTTTCGAATCTGCTCTGTCTAAAGGAAGGTTCAACTCTGTCAGTTGAATACACACAACACAAGGAAGTTACTGAGATTTCTTCTGTCTAGCCTTACATGAAAAAAACCCGTTTCCAACGAAGGCCTCAAAGAGGTCAAAATATCCACGTGCAGACTTTCCAAACAGAGTGTTTCCAAACTGCTGAATGAAAAGAAAAGTTAAACTCTGTGAGTTGAACGCACACATCCCAGAGCAGTTTCTGAGAAAGATTCTGTCTAGTTTTTATAGGAAAATATTTCCTTTTCTGCTTTTGGCCTCAAAGCGCTTGAAATCTCCACTTGCAAATTCCACAAAAAGAGACTTTCAAATCTGCTCTGTCTAAAGGAAGGTTCAACTCTGTCAGTTGAATACACACAACACAAAGAAGTTACTAAGAATTCTTCCCTCTAGCATTATATGAGGAAATCCCGTTTCCAACGAAGGCATCTAAGAGGTCCAAATATCCACTTGCAGACTTTACAAACAGAGGGTTTCCAGAATGCTGTATGAAAAGAAAGGTTAAACTCTGTGAGTTAAACACACACATCACTACGCAGTGTCTGGGAACGAGTTTGTCTTGTTTTTATACGAAGATATTTCCTTTTCTACCATTGGCATCGAAGCGCTTGAAATCTCCACTTGCAAATTCCACAAAAAGAGTGTTTCAAATCTGCTCTGTCTAAAGGAAGGTTGAACTCTGTGAGTTGCATACACACAACACAAAGAAGTTACTGAGAAATCTTCTGTCTAGCATAATACGAAGAAATCCCGTTTCCAACGAAGGCCTCAAAGAGGTCCGAATATCCACTGGCAGGCTTCACAAACAGAGTGTTTCCTAACTGCTCTGTGAAAAGAAAGGTTAAACTCTGTGAGTTGAACGCACACATCACAAAGGAGTTTCTGAGAATCATTCTGTCTAGTTTTTATACGAAGATATTTCCTTTTCTACCATTGACCTCAAAGCGGCTGAAATCTCCACTTGCAAATTCCAGAAAAACAGTGTTTCAAATCTGCTCTGTGTAAAGGATCGTTCAACTCTGTGAGTTGAATACACACAACACAAGGAAGTTACTGAGAATTCATCTGTCTAGCATAATATGAAGAAATCCCGTTTCCAACGAAGGCCTCAAAGAGGTCTGAATATCCACTTGCAGACTTTACAAACAGAGTGTTTCCTAACTGCTCTCTGAAAAGAAAGGTTAAACTCTGTGAGTTGAACGCACACATCACAAAACAGTTTCTGAGAATCATTCTGTCTAGTTTTTATACGAAGATATTTCCTTTTCTACCGTTGACCTCAAAGCGGCTGAATTCTCCACTTACAAATTCCACCAACAGTGTCTCAAATCTGCTCTGTGTAAAGAATCATTCAACTCTGTGAGTTGAATGCACACAACACAAGGAAGTTACTGGGAATTCCTCTGTCTAACCTTAAATGAAAAAACCCGTTTCCAACGAAGGCCTCTAAGAGGCCAAGATATCCACTTGCAGACTTTACAAACAGAGTGTTTCCAAACTGCTGAATGAAAAGAAAAGTTAAACTCTGTGAGTTGAACGCACACATCACAGAGCAGTTTCTGAGAATGATTCTGTCGGGTTTTTATACGAAGATATTTCCTTTTCTGCCTTTGGCCTCAAAGCGCTTGAAGTCTCCACTTGCAAATTGCAGAAAAAGAGTGTTTCGAATCTGCTCTGTCTAAAGGAAGGTTCAACTCTGTCAGTTGAATACACACAACACAAGGAAGTTACTGAGATTTCTTCTGTCTAGCCTTACATGAAAAAAACCCGTTTCCAACGAAGGCCTCAAAGAGGTCAAAATATCCACGTGCAGACTTTCCAAACAGAGTGTTTCCAAACTGCTGAATGAAAAGAAAAGTTAAACTCTGTGAGTTGAACGCACACATCACAGAGCAGTTTCTGAGAAAGATTCTGTCGAGTTTTTATAGGAAAATATTTCCTTTTCTGCTTTTGGCCTCAAAGCGCTTGAAATCTCCACTTGCAAATTCCACAAAAAGAGACTTTCAAATCTGCTCTGTCTAAAGGAAGGTTCAACTCTGTCAGTTGAATACACACAACACAAAGAAGTTACTAAGAATTCTTCCCTCTAGCATTATATGAAGAAATCCCGTTTCCAACGAAGGCATCTAAGAGGTCCAAATATCCACTTGCAGACTTTACAAACAGAGGGTTTCCAGAATGCTGTATGAAAAGAAAGGTTAAACTCTGTGAGTTAAACACACACATCACTACGCAGTGTCTGGGAACGAGTTTGTCTTGTTTTTATACGAAGATATTTCCTTTTCTACCATTGGCATCGAAGCGCTTGAAATCTCCACTTGCAAATTCCACAAAAAGAGTGTTTCAAATCTGCTCTGTCTAAAGGAAGGTTGAACTCTGTGAGTTGCATACACACAACACAAAGAAGTTACTGAGAAATCTTCTGTCTAGCATAATATGAAGAAATCCCGTTTCCAACGAAGGCCTCAAAGAGGTCCGAATATCCACTGGCAGGCTTCACAAACAGAGTGTTTCCTAACTGCTCTGTGAAAAGAAAGGTTAAACTCTGTGAGTTGAACGCACACATCACAAAGGAGTTTCTGAGAATCATCTGTCTAGTTTTTATACGAAGATATTTCCTTTTCTACCATTGACCTCAAAGCGGCTGAAATCTCCACTTGCAAATTCCAGAAAAACAGTGTTTCAAATCTGCTCTGTGTAAAGGATCGTTCAACTCTGTGAGTTGAATACACACAACACAAGGAAGGACTGAGAATCATCTCTGTCTAGCATAATATGAAGAAATCCCGTTTCCAACGAAGGCCTCAAAGAGGTCTGAATGTCCACTTGCAGACTTTACAAACAGAGTGTTTCCTAACTGCTCTTTGAAAAGAAAGGTTAAACTCTGTGAGTTGAATGCACACATCACAAAACAGTTTCTGAGAATCATTCTGTCTAGTTTTATACGAAGATATTTCCTTTTCTACCGTTGACCTCAAAGCGGCTGAATTCTCCACTTACAAATTCCACCAAAAGAGTGTCTCAAATCTGCTCTGTGTAAAGAATCATTCAACTCTGTGAGTTGAATGCACACAACACAAGGAAGTTACTGGGAATTCCTCTGTCTAACCTTACATGAAAAAACCCGTTTCCAACGAAGGCCTCTAAGAGGCCAAGATATCCACTTGCAGACTTTACAAACAGAGTGTTTCCAAACTGCTGAATGAAAAGAAAAGTTAAACTCTGTGAGTTGAACGCACACATCACAGAGCAGTTTCTGAGAATGATTCTGTCGGGTTTTTATACGAAGATATTTCCTTTTCTGCCTTTGGCCTCAAAGCGCTTGAAGTCTCCACTTGCAAATTGCAGAAAAAGAGTGTTTCGAATCTGCTCTGTCTAAAGGAAGGTTCAACTCTGTCAGTTGAATACACACAACACAAGGAAGTTACTGAGATTTCTTCTGTCTAGCCTTACATGAAAAAAACCCGTTTCCAACGAAGGCCTCAAAGAGGTCAAAATATCCACGTGCAGACTTTCCAAACAGAGTGTTTCCAAACTGCTGAATGAAAAGAAAAGTTAAACTCTGTGAGTTGAACGCACACATCCCAGAGCAGTTTCTGAGAAAGATTCTGTCGAGTTTTTATAGGAAAATATTTCCTTTTCTGCTTTTGGCCTCAAAGCGCTTGAAATCTCCACTTGCAAATTCCACAAAAAGAGACTTTCAAATCTGCTCTGTCTAAAGGAAGGTTCAACTCTGTCAGTTGAATACACACAACACAAAGAAGTTACTAAGAATTCTTCCCTCTAGCATTATATGAAGAAATCCCGTTTCCAACGAAGGCATCTAAGAGGTCCAAATATCCACTTGCAGACTTTACAAACACAGGGTTTCCAGAATGCTGTATGAAAAGAAAGGTTAAACTCTGTGAGTTAAACACACACATCACTACGCAGTGTCTGGGAACGAGTTTGTCTTGTTTTTATACGAAGATATTTCCTTTTCTACCATTGGCATCGAAGCGCTTGAAATCTCCACTTGCAAATTCCACAAAAAGAGTGTTTCAAATCTGCTCTGTCTAAAGGAAGGTTGAACTCTGTGAGTTGCATACACACAACACAAAGAAGTTACTGAGAAATCTTCTGTCTAGCATAATATGAAGAAATCCCGTTTCCAACGAAGGCCTCAAAGAGGTCCGAATATCCACTGGCAGGCTTCACAAACAGAGTGTTTCCTAACTGCTCTGTGAAAAGAAAGGTTAAACTCTGTGAGTTGAACGCACACATCACAAAGGAGTTTCTGAGAATCATTCTGTCTAGTTTTTATACGAAGATATTTCCTTTTCTACCATTGACCTCAAAGCGGCTGAAATCTCCACTTGCAAATTCCAGAAAAACAGTGTTTCAAATCTGCTCTGTGTAAAGGATCGTTTAACTCTGTGAGTTGAATACACACAACACAAGGAAGTTACTGAGAATTCATCTGTCTAGCATAATATGAAGCAATCCCGTTTCCAACGAAGGCCTCAAAGAGGTCTGAATATCCACTTGCAGACTTTACAAACAGTGTGTTTCCTAACTGCTCTTTGAAAAGAAAGGTTAAACTCTGTGAGTTGAACGCACACATCACAAAACAGTTTCTGAGAATCATTCTGTCTAGTTTTTATACGAAGATATTTCCTTTTCTACCGTTGACCTCAAAGCGGCTGAATTCTCCACTTACAAATTCCACCAAAAGAGTGTCTCAAATCTGCTCTGTGTAAAGAATCATTCAACTCTGTGAGTTGAATGCACGCAACACAAGGAAGTTACTGGGAATTCCTCTGTCTAACCTTACATGAAAAAACCCGTTTCCAACGAAGGCCTCTAAGAGGCCAAGATATCCACTTGCAGACTTTACAAACAGAGTGTTTCCAAACTGCTGAATGAAAAGAAAAGTTAAACTCTGTGAGTTGAACTCACACATCACAGAGCAGTTTCTGAGAATGATTCTGTCGGGTTTTTATACGAAGAATATTTCCTTTTCTGCCTTTGGCCTCAAAGCGCTTGAAGTCTCCACTTGCAAATTGCAGAAAAAGAGTGTTTCGAATCTGCTCTGTCTAAAGGAAGGTTCAACTCTGTCAGTTGAATACACACAACACAAGGAAGTTACTGAGATTTCTTCTGTCTAGCCTTACATGAAAAAAACCCGTTTCCAACGAAGGCCTCAAAGAGGTCAAAATATCCACGTGCAGACTTTCCAAACAGAGTGTTTCCAAACTGCTGAATGAAAAGAAAAGTTAAACTCTGTGAGTTGAACGCACACATCCCAGAGCAGTTTCTGAGAAAGATTCTGTCGAGTTTTTATAGGAAAATATTTCCTTTTCTGCTTTTGGCCTCAAAGCGCTTGAAATCTCCACTTGCAAATTCCACAAAAAGAGACTTTCAAATCTGCTCTGTCTAAAGGAAGGTTCAACTCTGTCAGTTGAATACACACAACACAAAGAAGTTACTAAGAATTCTTCCCTCTAGCATTATATGAAGAAATCCCGTTTCCAACGAAGGCATCTAAGAGGTCCAAATATCCACTTGCAGACTTTACAAACACAGGGTTTCCAGAATGCTGTATGAAAAGAAAGGTTAAACTCTGTGAGTTAAACACACACATCACTACGCAGTGTCTGGGAACGAGTTTGTCTTGTTTTTATACGAAGATATTTCCTTTTCTACCATTGGCATCGAAGCGCTTGAAATCTCCACTTGCAAATTCCACAAAAAGAGTGTTTCAAATCTGCTCTGTCTAAAGGAAGGTTGAACTCTGTGAGTTGCATACACACAACACAAAGAAGTTACTGAGAAATCTTCTGTCTAGCATAATATGAAGAAATCCCGTTTCCAACGAAGGCCTCAAAGAGGTCCGAATATCCACTGGCAGGCTTCACAAACAGAGTGTTTCCTAACTGCTCTGTGAAAAGAAAGGTTAAACTCTGTGAGTTGAACGCACACATCACAAAGGAGTTTCTGAGAATCATTCTGTCTAGTTTTTATACGAAGATATTTCCTTTTCTACCATTGACCTCAAAGCGGCTGAAATCTCCACTTGCAAATTCCAGAAAAACAGTGTTTCAAATCTGCTCTGTGTAAAGGATCGTTCAACTCTGTGAGTTGAATACACACAACACAAGGAAGTTACTGAGAATTCATCTGTCTAGCATAATATGAAGAAATCCCGTTTCCAACGAAGGCCTCAAAGAGGTCTGAATATCCACTTGCAGACTTTACAAACAGAGTGTTTCCTAACTGCTCTTTGAAAAGAAAGGTTAAACTCTGTGAGTTGAACGCACACATCACAAAACAGTTTCTGAGAATCATTCTGTCTAGTTTTTATACGAAGATATTTCCTTTTCTACCGTTGACCTCAAAGCGGCTGAATTCTCCACTTACAAATTCCACCAAAAGAGTGTCTCAAATCTGCTCTGTGTAAAGAATCATTCAACTCTGTGAGTTGAATGCACACAACACAAGGAAGTTACTGGGAATTCCTCTGTCTATCCTTACATGAAAAAACCCGCTTCCAACGAAGGCCTCTAAGAGGCCAAGATATCCACTTGCAGACTTTACAAACAGAGTGTTTCCAAACTGCTGAATGAAAAGAAAAGTTAAACTCTGTGAGTTGAACGCACACATCACAGAGCAGTTTCTGAGAATGATTCTGTCGGGTTTTTATACGAAGATATTTCCTTTTCTGCCTTTGGCCTCAAAGCGCTTGAAGTCTCCACTTGCAAATTGCAGAAAAAGAGTGTTTCGAATCTGCTCTGTCTAAAGGAAGGTTCAACTCTGTCAGTTGAATACACACAACACAAGGAAGTTACTGAGATTTCTTCTGTCTAGCCTTACATGAAAAAAACCCGTTTCCAACGAAGGCCTCAAAGAGGTCAAAATATCCACGTGCAGACTTTCCAAACAGAGTGTTTCCAAACTGCTGAATGAAAAGAAAAGTTAAACTCTGTGAGTTGAACGCACACATCCCAGAGCAGTTTCTGAGAAAGATTCTGTCGAGTTTTTATAGGAAAATATTTCCTTTTCTGCTTTTGGCCTCAAAGCGCTTGAAATCTCCACTTGCAAATTCCACAGAAAGAGACTTTCAAATCTGCTCTGTCTAAAGGAAGGTTCAACTCTGTCAGTTGAATACACACAACACAAAGAAGTTACTAAGAATTCTTCCCTCTAGCATTATATGAAGAAATCCCGTTTCCAACGAAGGCATCTAAGAGGTCCAAATATCCACTTGCAGACTTTACAAACAGAGGGTTTCCAGAATGCTGTATGAAAAGAAAGGTGAAACTCTGTGAGTTAAACACACACATCACTACGCAGTGTCTGGGAACGAGTTTGTCTTGTTTTTCTACGAAGATATTTCCTTTTCTACCATTGGCATCGAAGCGCTTGAAATCTCCACTTGCAAATTCCACAAAAAGAGTGTTTCAAATCTGCTCTGTCTAAAGGAAGGTTGAACTCTGTGAGTTGCATACACACAACACGAAGAAGTCACTGAGAAATCTTCTGTCTAGCATAATATGAAGAAATCCCGTTTCCAACGAAGGCCTCAAAGAGGTCCGAATATCCACTGGCAGGCTTCACAAACAGAGTGTTTCCTAACTGCTCTGTGAAAAGAAAGGTTAAACTCTGTGAGTTGAACGCACACATCACAAAGGAGTTTCTGAGAATCATTCTGTCTAGTTTTTATACGAAGATATTTCCTTTTCTACCATTGACCTCAAAGCGGCTGAAATCTCCACTTGCAAATTCCAGAAAAACAGTGTTTCAAATCTGCTCTGTGTAAAGGATCGTTCAACTCTGTGAGTTGAATACACACAACACAAGGAAGTTACTGAGAATTTCTCTGTCTAGCATAATATGAAGAAATCCCGTTTCCAACGAAGGCCTCAAAGAGGTCTCAATATCCACTTGCAGACTTTACAAACAGAGTGTTTCCTAACTGCTCTTTGAAAAGAAAGGTTAAACTCTGTGAGTTGAACGCACACATCAAAAAACAGTTTCTGAGAATCATTCTGTCTAGTTTTTATACGAAGATATTTCCTTTTCTACCGTTGACCTCAAAGCGGCTGAATTCTCCACTTACAAATTCCACCAAAAGAGTGTCTCAAATCTGCTCTGTGTAAAGAATCATTCAACTCTGTGAGTTGAATGCACACAACACAAGGAAGTTACTGGGAATTCCTCTGTCTATCCTTACATGAAAAAACCCGTTTCCAACGAAGGCCTCTAAGAGGCCAAGATATCCACTTGCAGACTTTACAAACAGAGTGTTTCCAAACTGCTGAATGAAAAGAAAAGTTAAACTCTGTGAGTTGAACGCACACATCACAGAGCAGTTTCTGAGAATGATTCTGTCGGGTTTTTATACGAAGATATTTCCTTTTCTGCCTTTGGCCTCAAAGCGCTTGAAGTCTCCACTTGCAAATTGCAGAAAAAGAGTGTTTCGAATCTGCTCTGTCTAAAGGAAGGTTCAACTCTGTCAGTTGAATACACACAACACAAGGAAGTTACTGAGATTTCTTCTGTCTAGCCTTACATGAAAAAAACCCGTTTCCAACGAAGGCCTCAAAGAGGTCAAAATATCCACGTGCAGACTTTCCAAACAGTGTTTCCAAACTGCTGAATGAAAAGAAAAGTTAAACTCTGTGAGTTGAACGCACACATCACAGAGCAGTTTCTGAGAATGATTCTGTCGAGTTTTTATAGGAAAATATTTCCTTTTCTGCTTTTGGCCTCAAAGCGCTTGAAATCTCCACTTGCAAATTCCACAAAAAGAGACTTTCAAATCTGCTCTGTCTAAAGGAAGGTTCAACTCTGTCAGTTGAATACACACAACACAAAGAAGTTACTAAGAATTCTTCCCTCTAGCATTATATGAAGAAATCCCGTTTCCAACGAAGGCATCTAAGAGGTCCAAATATCGACTTGCAGACTTTACAAACAGAGGGTTTCCAGAATGCTGTATGAAAAGAAAGGTTAAACTCTGTGAGTTAAACACACACATCACTACGCAGTGTCTGGGAACGAGTTTGTCTTGTTTTTATACGAAGATATTTCCTTTTCTACCATTGGCATCGAAGCGCTTGAAATCTCCACTTGCAAATTCCACAAAAAGAGTGTTTCAAATCTGCTCTGTCTAAAGGAAGGTTCAACTCTGTGAGTTGCATACACACAACACAAAGAAGTTACTGAGAAATCTTCTGTCTAGCATAATATGAAGAAATCCCGTTTCCAACGAAGGCCTGAAAGAGGTCCGAATATCCACTGGCAGGCTTCACAAACAGAGTGTTTCCTAACTGCTCTGTGAAAAGAAAGGTTAAACTCTGTGAGTTGAACGCACACATCACAAAGGAGTTTCTGAGAATCATTCTGTCTAGTTTTTATACGAAGATATTTCCTTTTCTACCATTGACCTCAAAGCGGCTGAAATCTCCACTTGCAAATTCCAGAAAAACAGTGTTTCAAATCTGCTCTGTGTAAAGGATCGTTCAACTCTGTGAGTTGAATACACACAACACAAGGAAGTTACTGAGAATTCATCTGTCTAGCATAATATGAAGAAATCCCGTTTCCAACGAAGGCCTCAAAGAGGTCTGAATATCCACTTGCAGACTTTACAGAGTGTTTCCTAACTGCTCTCTGAAAAGAAAGGTTAAACTCTGTGAGTTGAACGCACACATCACAAAACAGTTTCTGAGAATCATTCTGTCTAGTTTTTATACGAAGATATTTCCTTTTCTACCGTTGACCTCAAAGCGGCTGAATTCTCCACTTACAAATTCCACCAAAAGAGTGTCTCAAATCTGCTCTGTGTAAAGAATCGTTCAACTCTGTGAGTTGAATGCACACAACACAAGGAAGTTACTGGGAATTCCTCTGTCTATCCTTACATGAAAAAACCCGTTTCCAACGAAGGCCTCTAAGAGGCCAAGATATCCACTTGCAGACTTTACAAACAGAGTGTTTCCAAACTGCTGAATGAAAAGAAAAGTTAAACTCTGTGAGTTGAACGCACACATCACAGAGCAGTTTCTGAGAATGATTCTGTCGGGTTTTTATACGAAGATATTTCCTTTTCTGCCTTTGGCCTCAAAGCGCTTGAAGTCTCCACTTGCAAATTGCAGAAAAAGAGTGTTTCGAATCTGCTCTGTCTAAAGGAAGGTTCAACTCTGTCAGTTGAATACACACAACACAAGGAAGTTACTGAGATTTCTTCTGTCTAGCCTTACATGAAAAAAACCCGTTTCCAACGAAGGCCTCAAAGAGGTCAAAATATCCACGTGCAGACTTTCCAAACAGAGTGTTTCCAAACTGCTGAATGAAAAGAAAAGTTAAACTCTGTGAGTTGAACGCACACATCCCAGAGCAGTTTCTGAGAAAGATTCTGTCGAGTTTTTATAGGAAAATATTTCCTTTTCTGCTTTTGGCCTCAAAGCGCTTGAAATCTCCACTTGCAAATTCCACAAAAAGAGACTTTCAAATCTGCTCTGTCTAAAGGAAGGTTCAACTCTGTCAGTTGAATACACACCACACAAAGAAGTTATTAAGAATTCTTCCCTCTAGCATTATATGAAGAAATCCCGTTTCCAACGAAGGCATCTAAGAGGTCCAAATATCCACTTGCAGACTTTACAAACACAGGGTTTCCAGAATGCTGTATGAAAAGAAAGGTGAAACTCTGTGAGTTAAACACACACATCACTACGCAGTGTCTGGGAACGAGTTTGTCTTGTTTTTATACGAAGATATTTCCTTTTCTACCATTGGCATCGAAGCGCTTGAAATCTCCACTTGCAAATTCCACAAAAAGAGTGTTTCAAATCTGCTCTGTCTAAAGGAAGGTTGAACTCTGTGAGTTGCATACACACAACACAAAGAAGTTACTGAGAAATCTTCTGTCTAGCATAATATGAAGAAATCCCGTTTCCAACGAAGGCCTCAAAGAGGTCCGAATATCCACTGGCAGGCTTCACAAACAGAGTGTTTCCTAACTGCTCTGTGAAAAGAAAGGTTAAACTCTGTGAGTTGAACGCACACATCACAAAGGAGTTTCTGAGAATCATTCTGTCTAGTTTTTATACGAAGATATTTCCTTTTCTACCATTGACCTCAAAGCGGCTGAAATCTCCACTTGCAAATTCCAGAAAAACAGTGTTTCAAATCTGCTCTGTGTAAAGGATCGTTTAACTCTGTGAGTTGAATACACACAACACAAGGAAGTTACTGAGAATTCATCTGTCTAGCATAATATGAAGAAATCCCGTTTCCAACGAAGGCCTCAAAGAGGTCTGAATATCCACTTGCCGACTTTACAAACAGAGTGTTTCCTAACTGCTCTTTGAAAAGAAAGGTTAAACTCTGTGAGTTGAACGCACACATCACAAAACAGTTTCTGAGAATCATTCTGTCTAGTTTTTATACGAAGATATTTGCTTTTCTACCGTTGACCTCAAAGCGGCTGAATTCTCCACTTACAAATTCCACCAAAAGAGTGTCTCAAATCTGCTCTGTGTAAAGAATCATTCAACTCTGTGAGTTGAATGCACACAACACAAGGAAGTTACTGGGAATTCCTCTGTCTATCCTTACATGAAAAAACCCGCTTCCAACGAAGGCCTCTAAGAGGCCAAGATATCCACTTGCAGACTTTACAAACAGAGTGTTTCCAAACTGCTGAATGAAAAGAAAAGTTAAACTCTGTGAGTTGAACGCACACATCACAGAGCAGTTTCTGAGAATGATTCTGTCGGGTTTTTATACGAAGATATTTCCTTTTCTGCCTTTGGCCTCAAAGCGCTTGAAGTCTCCACTTGCAAATTGCAGAAAAAGAGTGTTTCGAATCTGCTCTGTCTAAAGGAAGGTTCAACTCTGTCAGTTGAATACACACAACACAAGGAAGTTACTGAGATTTCTTCTGTCTAGCCTTACAAGAAAAAAACCCGTTTCCAACGAAGGCCTCAAAGAGGTCAAAATATCCACGTGCAGACTTTCCAAACAGAGTGTTTCCAAACTGCTGAATGAAAAGAAAAGTTAAACTCTGTGAGTTGAACGCACACATCCCAGAGCAGTTTCTGAGAAAGATTCTGTCGAGTTTTTATAGGAAAATATTTCCTTTTCTGCTTTTGGCCTCAAAGCGCTTGAAATCTCCACTTGCAAATTCCACAAAAAGAGACTTTCAAATCTGCTCTGTCTAAAGGAAGGTTCAACTCTGTCAGTTGAATACACACAACACAAAGAAGTTACTAAGAATTCTTCCCTCTAGCATTATATGAAGAAATCCCGTTTCCAACGAAGGCATCTAAGAGGTCCAAATATCCACTTGCAGACTTTACAAACACAGGGTTTCCAGAATGCTGTATGAAAAGAAAGGTTAAACTCTGTGAGTTAAACACACACATCACTACGCAGTGTCTGGGAACGAGTTTGTCTTGTTTTTCTACGAAGATATTTCCTTTTCTACCATTTGCATCGAAGCGCTTGAAATCTCCACTTGCAAATTCCACAAAAAGAGTGTTTCAAATATGCTCTCTCTAAAGGAAGGTTGAACTCTGTAAGTTGCATACACACAACACAAAGAAGTTACTGAGAAATCTTCTGTCTAGCATAATATGAAGAAATCCCGTTTCCAACGAAGGCCTCAAAGAGGTCCGATTATCCACTGGCAGGCTTCACAAACAGAGTGTTTCCTAACTGCTCTGTGAAAAGAAAGGTTAAACTCTGTGAGTTGAACGCACACATCACAAAGGAGTTTCTGAGAATCATTCTGTCTAGTTTTTATACGAAGATATTTCCTTTTCTACCATTGACCTCAAAGCGGCTGAAATCTCCACTTGCAAATTCCAGAAAAACAGTGTTTCAAATCTGCTCTGTGTAAAGGATCGTTCAACTCTGTGAGTTGAATACACACAACACAAGGAAGTTACTGAGAATTCATCTGTCTAGCATAATATGAAGAAATCCCGTTTCCAACGAAGGTCTCAAAGAGGTCTGAATATCCACTTGCAGACTTTACAAACAGAGTGTTTCCTAACTGCTCTTTGAAAAGAAAGGTTAAACTCTGTGAGTTGAACGCACACATCACAAAACAGTTTCTGAGAATCATTCTGTCTAGTTTTTATACGAAGATATTTCCTTTTCTACCGTTGACCTCAAAGCGGCTGAATTCTCCACTTACAAATTCCACCAAAAGAGTGTCTCAAATCTGCTCTGTGTAAAGAATCATTCAACTCTGTGAGTTGAATGCACACAACACAAGGAAGTTACTGGGAATTCCTCTGTCTAACCTTACATGATAAAACCCGTTTCCAACGAAGGCCTCTAAGAGGCCAAGATATCCACTTGCAGACTTTACAAACAGAGTGTTTCCAAACTGCTGAATGAAAAGAAAAGTTAAACTCTGTGAGTTGAACGCACACATCACAGAGCAGTTTCTGAGAATGATTCTGTCGGGTTTTTATACGAAGATATTTCCTTTTCTGCCTTTGGCCTCAAAGCGCTTGAAGTCTCCACTTGCAAATTGCAGAAAAAGAGTGTTTCGAATCTGCTCTGTCTAAAGGAAGGTTCAACTCTGTCAGTTGAATACACACAACACAAGGAAGTTACTGAGATTTCTTCTGTCTAGCCTTACATGAAAAAAACCCGTTTCCAACGAAGGCCTCTAAGAGGTCAAAATATCCACGTGCAGACTTTCCAAACAGAGTGTTTCCAAACTGCTGAATGAAAAGAAAAGTTAAACTCTGTGAGTTGAACGCACACATCCCAGAGCAGTTTCTGAGAAAGATTCTCTCTAGTTTTTATAGGAAAATATTTCCTTTTCTGCTTTTGGCCTCAAAGCGCTTGAAATCTCCACTTGCAAATTCCACAAAAAGAGACTTTCAAATCTGCTCTGTCTAAAGGAAGGTTCAACTCTGTCAGTTGAATACACACAACACAAAGAAGTTACTAAGAATTCTTCCCTCTAGCATTATATGAAGAAATCCCGTTTCCAACGAAGGCATCTAAGAAGTCCAAATATCCACTTGCAGACTTTACAAACAGAGGGTTCCCAGAATGCTGTATGAAAAGAAAGGTTAAACTCTGTGAGTTAAACACACACATCACTACGCAGTGTCTGGGAACGAGTTTGTCTTGTTTTTATACGAAGATATTTCCTTTTCTACCATTGGCATCGAAGCGCTTGAAATCTCCACTTGCAAATTCCACAAAAAGAGTGTTTCAAATCTGCTCTGTCTAAAGGAAGGTTGAACTCTGTGAGTTGCATACACACAACACAAAGAAGTTACTGAGAAATCTTCTGTCTAGCATAATATGAAGAAATCCCGTTTCCAACGAAGGCCTCAAAGAGGTCCGAATATCCACTGGCAGGCTTCACAAACAGAGTGTTTCCTAACTGCTCTGTGAAAAGAAAGGTTAAACTCTGTGAGTTGAACGCACACATCACAAAGGAGTTTCTGAGAATCATTCTGTCCAGTTTTTATACGAAGATATTTCCTTTTCTACCATAGACCTCAAAGCGGCTGAAATCTCCACTTGCAAATTCCAGAAAAACAGTGTTTCAAATCTGCTCTGTGTAAAGGATCGTTCAACTCTGTGAGTTGAATACACACAACACAAGGAAGTTACTGAGAATTCATCTGTCTAGCATAATATGATGAAATCCCGTTTCCAACGAAGGCTTCAAAGAGGTCTGAATATCCACTTGCAGACTTTACAACAGAGTGTTTCCTAACTGCTCTTTGAAAAGAAAGGTTAAACTCTGTGAGTTGAACGCACACATCACAAAACAGTTTCTGAGAATCATTCTTTCTAGTTTTTATACGAAGATATTTCCTTTTCTACCGTTGACCTCAAAGCGGCTGAATTCTCCACTTACAAATTCCACCAAAAGTGTGTCTCAAATCTGCTCTGTGTAAAGAATCATTCAACTCTGTGAGTTGAATGCACACAACACAAGGAAGTTACTGGGAATTCCTCTGTCTAACCTTACATGAAAAAACGCGTTTCCAACGAAGGCCTCTAAGAGGCCAAGATATCCACTTGCAGACTTTACAAACAGAGTGTTTCCAAACTGCTGAATGAAAAGAAAAGTTAAACTCTGTGAGTTGAACGCACACATCACAGAGCAGTTTCTGAGAATGATTCTGTCGGGTTTTTATACGAAGATATTTCCTTTTCTGCCTTGGCCTCAAAGCGCTTGAAGTCTCCACTTGCAAATTGCAGAAAAAGAGCGTTTCGAATCTGCTCTGTCTAAAGGAAGGTTCAACTCTGTCAGTTAAATACACACAACACAAGGAAGTTACTGAGATTTCTTCTGTCTAGCCTTACATGAAAAAAACCCGTTTCCAACGAAGGCCTCAAAGAGGTCAAAATATCCACGTGCAGACTTTCCAAACAGAGTGTTTCCAAACTGCTGAATGAAAAGAAAGTTAAACTCTGTGAGTTGAACACACACATCACAGAGCAGTTTCTGAGAATGATTCTGTCTAGTTTTTATAGGAAAATATTTCCTTTTCTGCTTTTGGCCTCAAAGCGCTTGAAATCTCCACTTGCAAATTCCACAAAAAGAGACTTTCAAATCTGCTCTGTCTAAAGGAAGGTTCAACTCTGTCAGTTGAATACACACAACACAAAGAAGTTACTAAGAATTCTTCCCTCTAGCATTATATGAAGAAATCCCGTTTCCAACGAAGGCATCTAAGAGGTCCAAATATCCACTTGCAGACTTTACAAACAGAGGGTTTCCAGAATGCTGTATGAAAAGAAAGGTGAAACTCTGTGAGTTAAACACACACATCACTACGCAGTGTCTGGGAACGAGTTTGTCTTGTTTTTATACGAAGATATTTCCTTTTCTACCATTGGCATCGAAGCGCTTGAAATCTCCACTTGCAAATTCCACAAAAAGAGTGTTTCAAATCTGCTCTGTCTAAAGGAAGGTTGAACTCTGTGAGTTGCATACACACAACACAAAGAAGTTACTGAGAAATCTTCTGTCTAGCATAATATGAAGAAATCCCGTTTCCAACGAAGGCCTCAAAGAGGTCCGAATATCCACTGGCAGGCTTCACAAACAGAGTGTTTCCTAACTGCTCTGTGAAAAGAAAGGTTAAACTCTGTGAGTTGAACGCACACATCACAAAGGAGTTTCTGAGAATCATTCTGTCTAGTTTTTATACGAAGATATTTCCTTTTCTACCATTGACCTCAAAGCGGCTGAAATCTCCACTTGCAAATTCCAGAAAAACAGTGTTTCAAATCTGCTCTGTGTAAAGGATCGTTCAACTCTGTGAGTTGAATACACACAACACAAGGAAGTTACTGAGAATTCATCTGTCTAGCATAATATGAAGAAATCCCGTTTCCAACGAAGGCCTCAAAGAGGTCTGAATATCCACTTGCAGACTTTACAAACAGAGTGTTTCCTAACTGCTCTTTGAAAAGAAAGGTTAAACTCTGTGAGTTGAACGCACACATCACAAAACAGTTTCTGAGAATCATTCTGTCTAGTTTTTATACGAAGATATTTCCTTTTCTACCGTTGACCTCAAAGCAGCTGAATTCTCCACTTACAAATTCCACCCAAAGAGTGTCTCAAATCTGCTCTGTGTAAAGAATCATTCAACTCTGTGAGTTGAATGCACACAACACAAGGAAGTTACTGGGAATTCCTCTGTCTAACCTTACATGAAAAAACCCGTTTCCAACGAAGGCCTCTAAGAGGCCAAGATATCCACTTGCAGACTTTACAAACAGAGTGTTTCCAAACTGCTGAATGAAAAGAAAAGTTAAACTCTGTGAGTTGAACGCACACATCACAGAGCAGTTTCTGAGAATGATTCTGTCGGGTTTTTATACGAAGATATTTCCTTTTCTGCCTTTGGCCTCAAAGCGCTTGAAGTCTCCACTTGCAAATTGCAGAAAAAGAGTGTTTCGAATCTGCTCTGTCTAAAGGAAGGTTCAACTCTGTCAGTTGAATACACACAACACAAGGAAGTTACTGAGATTTCTTCTGTCTAGCCTTACATGAAAAAAACCCGTTTCCAACGAAGGCCTCAAAGAGGTCAAAATATCCACGTGCAGACTTTCCAAACAGAGTGTTTCCAAACTGCTGAATGGAAAGAAAAGTTAAACTCTGTGAGTTGAACGCACACATCCCAGAGCAGTTTCTGAGAAAGATTCTGTCGAGTTTTTATAGGAAAATATTTCCTTTTCTGCTTTTGGCCTCAAAGCGCTTGAAATCTACACTTGCAAATTCCACAGAAAGAGACTTTCAAATCTGCTCTGTCTAAAGGAAGGTTCAACTCTGTCAGTTGAATACACACAACACAAAGAAGTTACTAAGAATTCTTCCCTCTAGCATTATATGAAGAAATCCCGTTTCCAACGAAGGCATCTAAGAGGTCCAAATATCCACTTGCAGACTTTACAAACACAGGGTTTCCAGAATGCTGTATGAAAAGAAAGGTTAAACTCTGTGAGTTAAACACACACATCACTACGCAGTGTCTGGGAACGAGTTTGTCTTGTTTTTATACGAAGATATTTCCTTTTCTACCATTGGCATCGAAGCGCTTGAAATCTCCACTTGCAAATTCCACAAAAAGAGTGTTTCAAATATGCTCTCTCTAAAGGAAGGTTGAACTCTGTGAGTTGCATACACACAACACAAAGAAGTTACTGAGAAATCTTCTGTCTAGCATAATATGAAGAAATCCCGTTTCCAACGAAGGCCTCAAAGAGGTCCGATTATCCACTGGCAGGCTTCACAAACAGAGTGTTTCCTAACTGCTCTGTGAAAAGAAAGGTTAAACTCTGTGAGTTGAACGCACACATCACAAAGGAGTTTCTGAGAATCATTCTGTCTAGTTTTTATACGAAGATATTTCCTTTTCTACCATTGACCTCAAAGTGGCTGAAATCTCCACTTGCAAATTCCAGAAAAACAGTGTTTCAAATCTGCTCTGTGTAAAGGATCGTTCAACTCTGTGAGTTGAATACACACAACACAAGGAAGTTACTGAGAATTCATCTGTCTAGCATAATATGAAGAAATCCCGTTTCCAACGAAGGCCTCAAAGAGGTCTGAATATCCACTTGCAGACTTTACAAACAGAGTGTTTCCTAACTGCTCTTTGAAAAGAAAGGTTAAACTCTGTGAGTTGAACGCACACATCACAAAACAGTTTCTGAGAATCATTCTGTCTAGTTTTTATACGAAGATATTTCCTTTTCTACCGTTGACCTCAAAGCGGCTGAATTCTCCACTTACAAATTCCACCAAAAGAGTGTCTCAAATCTGCTCTGTGTAAAGAATCATTCAACTCTGTGAGTTGAATGCTCACAACACAAGGAAGTTACTGGGAATTCCTCTGTCTATCCTTACATGAAAAAACCCGTTTCCAACGAAGGCCTCTAAGAGGCCAAGATATCCACTTGCAGACTTTACAAACAGAGTGTTTCCAAACTGCTGAATGAAAAGAAAAGTTAAACTCTGTGAGTTGAACGCACACATCACAGAGCAGTTTCTGAGAAAGATTCTGTCTAGTTTTTATAGGAAAATATTTCCTTTTCTGCTTTTGGCCTCAAAGCGCTTGAAATCTCCACCTGCAAATTCCACAAAAAGAGTATTTCAAATCTGCTCTGTCTAAAGGAAGGTTGAACTCTGTGAGTTGCATACACACAACACAAAGAGGTTACTGAGAAATCTTCTGTCTAGCATAATATGAAGAAATCCCGTTTCCAACGAAGGCCTCAAAGAGGTCCGAATATCCACTGGCAGGCTTCACAAACAGAGTGTTTCCTAACTGCTCTGTGAAAAGAAAGGTTAAACTCTGTGAGTTGAACGCACACATCACAAAGGAGTTTCTGAGAATCATTCTGTCTAGTTTTTATACGAAGATATTTCCTTTTCTACCATTGACCTCAAAGCAGCTGAAATCTCCACTTGCAAATTCCAGAAAAACAGTGTTTCAAATCTGCTCTGTGTAAAGGATCGTTCAACTCTGTGAGTTGAATACACACAACACAAGGAAGTTACTGAGAATTATTCTGTCTAGCATAATATGAAGAAATCCCGTTTCCAACGAAGGCCTCAAAGAGGTCTGAATATCCACTTGCAGACTTTACAAACAGAGTGTTTCCTAACTGCTCTTTGAAAAGAAAGGTTAAACTCTGTGAGTTGAATGCACACATCACAAAACAGTTTCTGAGAATCATTCTGTCTAGTTTTTATACGAAGATATTTCCTTTTCTACCGTTGACCTCAAAGCAGCTGAATTCTCCACTTACAAATTCCACCAAAAGAGTGTCTCAAATCTGCTCTGTGTAAAGAATCATTCAACTCTGTGAGTTGAATGCACACAACACAAGGAAGTTACTGGGAATTCCTCTGTCTAACCTTACATGAAAAAACCCGTTTCCAACGAAGGCCTCTAAGAGGCCAAGATATCCACTTGCAGACTTTACAAACAGAGTGTTTCCAAACTGCTGAATGAAAAGAAAAGTTAAACTCTGTGAGTTGAACGCACACATCACAGAGCAGTTTCTGAGAATGATTCTGTCGGGTTTTTATACGAAGATATTTCCTTTTCTGCCTTTGGCCTCAAAGCGCTTGAAGTCTCCACTTGCAAATTGCAGAAAAAGAGTGTTTCGAATCTGCTCTGTCTAAAGGAAGGTTCAACTCTGTCAGTTGAATACACACAACACAAGGAAGTTACTGAGATTTCTTCTGTCTAGCCTTACATGAAAAAAACCCGTTTCCAACGAAGGCCTCAAAGAGGTCAAAATATCCACGTGCAGACTTTCCAAACAGAGTGTTTCCAAACTGCTGAATGAAAAGAAAAGTTAAACTCTGTGAGTTGAACGCACACATCCCAGAGCAGTTTCTGAGAAAGATTCTGTCGAGTTTTTATAGGAAAATATTTCCTTTTCTGCTTTTGGCCTCAAAGCGCTTGAAATCTCCACTTGCAAATTCCACAAAAAGAGACTTTCAAATCTGCTCTGTCTAAAGGAAGGTTCAACTCTGTCAGTTGAATACACACAACACAAAGAAGTTACTAAGAATTCTTCCCTCTAGCATTATATGAAGAAATCCCGTTTCCAACGAAGGCATCTAAGAGGTCCAAATATCCACTTGCAGACTTTACAAACACAGGGTTTCCAGAATGCTGTATGAAAAGAAAGGTGAAACTCTGTGAGTTAAACACACACATCACTACGCAGTGTCTGGGAACGAGTTTGTCTTGTTTTTCTACGAAGATATTTCCTTTTCTACCATTGGCATCGAAGCGCTTGAAATCTCCACTTGCAAATTCCACAAAAAGAGTGTTTCAAATCTGCTCTGTCTAAAGGAAGGTTGAACTCTGTGAGTTGCATACACACAACACAAAGAAGTTACTGAGAAATCTTCTGAATAGCATAATATGAAGAAATCCCGTTTCCAACGAAGGCCTCAAAGAGGTCCGAATATCCACTGGCAGGCTTCACAAACAGAGTGTTTCCTAACTGCTCTGTGAAAAGAAAGGTTAAACTCTGTGAGTTGAACGCACACATCACAAAGGAGTTTCTGAGAATCATTCTGTCTAGTTTTTGTACGAAGATATTTCCTTTTCTACCATTGACCTCAAAGCGGCTGAAATCTCCACTTGCAAATTCCAGAAAAACAGTGTTTCAAATCTGCTCTGTGTAAAGGATCGTTCAACTCTGTGAGTTGAATACACACAACACAAGGAAGTTACTGAGAATTCATCTGTCTAGCATAATATGAAGAAATCCCGTTTCCAACGAAGGCCTCAAAGAGGTCTGAATATCCTCTTGCAGACTTTACAAACAGAGTGTTTCCTAACTGCTCTTTGAAAAGAAAGGTTAAACTCTGTGAGTTGAACGCACACATCACAAAACAGTTTCTGAGAATCATTCTGTCTAGTTTTTATACGAAGATATTTCCTTTTCTACCGTTGACCTCAAAGCGGCTGAATTCTCCACTTACAAATTCCACCAAAAGAGTGTCTCAAATCTGCTCTGTGTAAAGAATCATTCAACTCTGTGAGTTGAATGCACACAACACAAGGAAGTTACTGGGAATTCCTGTGTGTATCCTTACATGAAAAAACCCGTTTCCAACGAAGGCCTCTAAGAGGCCAAGATATCCACTTGCAGACTTTACAAACAGAGTGTTTCCAAACTGCTGAATGAAAAGAAAAGTTAAACTCTGTGAGTTGAACGCACACATCACAGAGCAGTTTCTGAGAATGATTCTGTCGGGTTTTTATACGAAGATATTTCCTTTTCTGCCTTTGGCCTCAAAGCGCTTGAAGTCTCCACTTGCAAATTGCAGAAAAAGAGTGTTTCGAATCTGCTCTGTCTAAAGGAAGGTTCAACTCTGTCAGTTGAATACACACAACACAAGGAAGTTACTGAGATTTCTTCTGTCTAGCCTTACATGAAAAAAACCCGTTTCCAACGAAGGCCTCAAAGAGGTCAAAATATCCACGTGCAGACTTTCCAAACAGAGTGTTTCCAAACTGCTGAATGAAAAGAAAAGTTAAACTCTGTGAGTTGAACGCACACATCCCAGAGCAGTTTCTGAGAAAGATTCTGTCTAGTTTTTATAGGAAAATATTTCCTTTTCTGCTTTTGGCCTCAAAGCGCTTGAAATCTCCACTTGCAAATTCCACAAAAAGAGACTTTCAAATCTGCTCTGTCTAAAGGAAGGTTCAACTCTGTCAGTTGAATACACACAACACAAAGAAGTTACTAAGAATTCTTCCCTCTAGCATTATATGAAGAAATCCCGTTTCCAACGAAGGCATCTAAGAGGTCCAAATATCCACTTGCAGACTTTACAAACACAGGGTTTCCAGAATGCTGTATGAAAAGAAAGGTTAAACTCTGTGAGTTAAACACACACATCACTACGCAGTGTCTGGGAACGAGTTTGTCTTGTTTTTATACGAAGATATTTCCTTTTCTACCATTGGCATCGAAGCGCTTGAAATCTCCACTTGCAAATTCCACAAAAAGAGTGTTTCAAATCTGCTCTGTCTAAAGGAAGGTTGAACTCTGTGAGTTGCATACACACAACACAAAGAAGTTACTGAGAAATCTTCTGTCTAGCATAATATGAAGAAATCCCGTTTCCAACGAAGGCCTCAAAGAGGTCCGAATATCCACTGGCAGGCTTCACAAACAGAGTGTTTCCTAACTGCTCTGTGAAAAGAAAGGTTAAACTCTGTGAGTTGAACGCACACATCACAAAGGAGTTTCTGAGAATCATTCTGTCTAGTTTTTATACGAAGATATTTCCTTTTCTACCATTGACCTCAAAGCGGCTGAAATCTCCACTTGCAAATTCCAGAAAAACAGTGTTTCAAATCTGCTCTGTGTAAAGGATCGTTCAACTCTGTGAGTTGAATACACACAACACAAGGAAGTTACTGAGAATTCATCTGTCTAGCATAATATGAAGAAATCCCGTTTCCAACGAAGGCCTCAAAGAGGTCTGAATATCCACTTGCAGACTTTACAAACAGAGTGTTTCCTAACTGCTCTTTGAAAAGAAAGGTTAAACTCTGTGAGTTGAACGCACACATCACAAAACAGTTTCTGAGAATCATTCTGTCTAGTTTTTATACGAAGATATTTCCTTTTCTACCGTTGACCTCAAAGCGGCTGAATTCTCCACTTACAAATTCCACCAAAAGAGTGTCTCAAATCTGCTCTGTGTAAAGAATCATTCAACTCTGTGAGTTGAATGCACACAACACAAGGAAGTTACTGGGAATTCCTCTGTCTAACCTTACATGAAAAAACCCGTTTCCAACGAAGGCCTCTAAGAGGCCAAGATATCCACTTGCAGACTTTACAAACAGAGTGTTTCCAAACTGCTGAATGAAAAGAAAAGTTAAACTCTGTGAGTTGAACGCACACATCACAGAGCAGTTTCTGAGAATGATTCTGTCGGGTTTTTATACGAAGATATTTCCTTTTCTGCCTTTGGCCTCAAAGCGCTTGAAGTCTCCACTTGCAAATTGCAGAAAAAGAGTGTTTCGAATCTGCTCTGTCTAAAGGAAGGTTCAACTCTGTCAGTTGAATACACACAACACAAGGAAGTTACTGAGATTTCTTCTGTCTAGCCTTACATGAAAAACACCCGTTTCCAACGAAGGCCTCAAAGAGGTCAAAATATCCACGTGCAGACTTTCCAAACAGAGTGTTTCCAAACTGCTGAATGAAAAGAAAAGTTAAACTCTGTGAGTTGAACGCACACATCCCAGAGCAGTTTCTGAGAAAGATTCTGTCGAGTTTTTATAGGAAAATATTTCCTTTTCTGCTTTTGGCCTCAAAGCGCTTGAAATCTCCACTTGCAAATTCCACAAAAAGAGACTTTCAAATCTGCTCTGTCTAAAGGAAGGTTCAACTCTGTCAGTTGAATACACACAACACAAAGAAGTTACTAAGAATTCTTCCCTCTAGCATTATATGAGGAAATCCCGTTTCCAACGAAGGCATCTAAGAGGTCCAAATATCCACTTGCAGACTTTACAAACAGAGGGTTTCCAGAATGCTGTATGAAAAGAAAGGTTAAACTCTGTGAGTTAAACACACACATCACTACGCAGTGTCTGGGAACGAGTTTGTCTTGTTTTTATACGAAGATATTTCCTTTTCTACCATTGGCATCGATGCGCTTGAAATTTCCACTTGCAAATTCCACAAAAAGAGTGTTTCAAATCTGCTCTGTCTAAAGGAAGGTTGAACTCTGTGAGTTGCATACACACAACACAAAGAAGTTACTGAGAAATCTTCTGTCTAGCAAAATATGAAGAAATCCCGTTTCCAACGAAGGCCTCAAAGAGGTCCGAATATCCACTGGCAGGCTTCACAAACAGAGTGTTTCCTAACTGCTCTGTGAAAAGAAAGGTTAAACTCTGTGAGTTGAACGCACACATCACAAAGGAGTTTCTGAGAATCATTCTGTCTAGTTTTTATACGAAGATATTTCCTTTTCTACCATTGACCTCAAAGCGGCTGAAATCTCCACTTGCAAATTCCAGAAAAACAGTGTTTCAAATCTGCTCTGTGTAAAGGATCGTTCAACTCTGTGAGTTGAATACACACAACACAAGGAAGTTACTGAGAATTCATCTGTCTAGCATAATATGATGAAATCCCGTTTCCAACGAAGGCTTCAAAGAGGTCTGAATATCCACTTGCAGACTTTACAAACAGAGTGTTTCCTAACTGCTCTTTGAAAAGAAAGGTTAAACTCTGTGAGTTGAACGCACACATCACAAAACAGTTTCTGAGAATCATTCTTTCTAGTTTTTATACGAAGATATTTCCTTTTCTACCGTTGACCTCAAAGCGGCTGAATTCTCCACTTACAAATTCCACCAAAAGTGTGTCTCAAATCTGCTCTGTGTAAAGAATCATTCAACTCTGTGAGTTGAATGCACACAACACAAGGAAGTTACTGGGAATTCCTCTGTCTAACCTTACATGAAAAAACGCGTTTCCAACGAAGGCCTCTAAGAGGCCAAGATATCCACTTGCAGACTTTACAAACAGAGTGTTTCCAAACTGCTGAATGAAAAGAAAAGTTAAACTCTGTGAGTTGAACGCACACATCACAGAGCAGTTTCTGAGAATGATTCTGTCGGGTTTTTATACGAAGATATTTCCTTTTCTGCCTTGGCCTCAAAGCGCTTGAAGTCTCCACTTGCAAATTGCAGAAAAAGAGCGTTTCGAATCTGCTCTGTCTAAAGGAAGGTTCAACTCTGTCAGTTAAATACACACAACACAAGGAAGTTACTGAGATTTCTTCTGTCTAGCCTTACATGAAAAAAACCCGTTTCCAACGAAGGCCTCAAAGAGGTCAAAATATCCACGTGCAGACTTTCCAAACAGAGTGTTTCCAAACTGATGAATGAAAAGAAAGTTAAACTCTGTGAGTTGAACACACACATCACAGAGCAGTTTCTGAGAATGATTCTCTCTAGTTTTTATAGGAAAATATTTCCTTTTCTGCTTTTGGCCTCAAAGCGCTTGAAATCTCCACTTGCAAATTCCACAAAAAGAGACTTTCAAATCTGCTCTGTCTAAAGGAAGGTTCAACTCTGTCAGTTGAATACACACAACACAAAGAAGTTACTAAGAATTCTTCCCTCTAGCATTATATGAAGAAATCCCGTTTCCAACGAAGGCCTCAAAGAGGTCTGAATATCCACTTGCAGACTTTACAGAGTGTTTCCTAACTGCTCTTTGAAAAGAAAGGTTAAACTCTGTGAGTTGAACGCACACATCACAAAACAGTTTCTGAGAATCATTCTGTCTAGTTTTTATACGAAGGTATTTCCTTTTCTACCGTTGACCTCAAAGCGGCTGAATTCTCCACTTACAAATTCCACCCAAAGAGTGTCTCAAATCTGCTCTGTGTAAAGAATCATTCAACTCTGTGAGTTGAATGCACACAACACAAGGGAAGTTACTGGGAATTCCTCTGTCTAACCTTACATGAAAAAACCCGTTTCCAACGAAGGCCTCTAAGAGGCCAAGATATCCACTTGCAGACTTTACAAACAGAGTGTTTCCAAACTGCTGAATGAAAAGAAAAGTTAAACTCTGTGAGTTGAACGCACACATCACAGAGCAGTTTCTGAGAATGATTCTGTCGGGTTTTTATACGAAGATATTTCCTTTTCTGCCTTTGGCCTCAAAGCGCTTGAAGTCTCCACTTGCAAATTGCAGAAAAAGAGTGTTTCGAATCTGCTCTGTCTAAAGGAAGGTTCAACTCTGTCAGTTGAATACACACAACACAAGGAAGTTACTGAGATTTCTTCTGTCTAGCCTTACATGAAAAAAACCCGTTTCCAACGAAGGCCTCAAAGAGGTCAAAATATCCACGTGCAGACTTTCCAAACAGAGTGTTTCCAAACTGCTGAATGAAAAGAAAAGTTAAACTCTGTGAGTTGAACGCACACATCCCAGAGCAGTTTCTGAGAAAGATTCTGTCGAGTTTTTATAGGAAAATATTTCCTTTTCTGCTTTTGGCCTCAAAGCGCTTGAAATCTCCACTTGCAAATTCCACAAAAAGAGACTTTCAAATCTGCTCTGTCTAAAGGAAGGTTCAACTCTGTCAGTTGAATACACACAACACAAAGAAGTTACTAAGAATTCTTCCCTCTAGCATTATATGAAGAAATCCCGTTTGCAACGAAGGCATCTAAGAGGTCCAAATATCCACTTGCAGACTTTACAAACAGAGGGTTTCCAGAATGCTGTATGAAAAGAAAGGTGAAACTCTGTGAGTTAAACACACACATCACTACGCAGTGTCTGGGAACGAGTTTGTCTTGTTTTTATACGAAGATATTTCCTTTTCTACCATTGGCATCGAAGCGCTTGAAATCTCCACTTGCAAATTCCACAAAAAGAGTGTTTCAAATCTGCTCTGTCTAAAGGAAGGTTGAACTCTGTGAGTTGCATACACACAACACAAAGAAGTTACTGAGAAATCTTCTGTCTAGCATAATATGAAGAAATCCCGTTTCCAACGAAGGCCTCAAAGAGGTCCGAATATCCACTGGCAGGCTTCACAAACAGAGTGTTTCCTAACTGCTCTGTGAAAAGAAAGGTTAAACCCTGTGAGTTGAACGCACACATCACAAAGGAGTTTCTGAGAATCATTCTGTCTAGTTTTTATACGAAGATATTTCCTTTTCTACCATTGACCTCAAAGCGGCTGAAATCTCCACTTGCAAATTCCAGAAAAACAGTGTTTCAAATCTGCTCTGTGTAAAGGATCGTTCAACTCTGTGAGTTGAATACACACAACACAAGGAAGTTACTGAGAATTCATCTGTCTAGCATAATATGAAGAAATCCCGTTTCCAACGAAGGCCTCAAAGAGGTCTGAATATCCACTTGCAGACTTTACAAACAGAGTGTTTCCTAACTGCTCTTTGAAAAGAAAGGTTAAACTCTGTGAGTTGAACGCACACATCACAAAACAGTTTCTGAGAATCATTCTGTCTAGTTTTTATGCGAAGATATTTGCTTTTCTACCGTTGACCTCAAAGCGGCTGAATTCTCCACTTACAAATTCCACCAAAAGAGTGTCTCAAATCTGCTCTGTGTAAAGAATCATTCAACTCTGTGAGTTGAATGCACACAAAACAAGGAAGTTACTGGGAATTCCTCTGTCTAACCTTACATGAAAAAACCCGTTTCCAACGAAGGCCTCTAAGAGGCCAAGATATCCACTTGCAGACTTTACAAACAGAGTGTTTCCAAACTGCTGAATGAAAAGAAAAGTTAAACTCTGTGAGTTGAACGCACACATCACAGAGCAGTTTCTGAGAATGATTCTGTCGGGTTTTTATACGAAGATATTTCCTTTTCTGCCTTTGGCCTCAAAGCGCTTGAAGTCTCCACTTGCAAATTGCAGAAAAAGAGTGTTTCGAATCTGCTCTGTCTAAAGGAAGGTTCAACTCTGTCAGTTGAATACACACAACACAAGGAAGTTACTGAGATTTCTTCTGTCTAGCCTTACATGAAAAAAACCCGTTTCCAACGAAGGCCTCAAAGAGGTCAAAATATCCACGTGCAGACTTTCCAAACAGAGTGTTTCCAAACGCTGAATGAAAAGAAAAGTTAAACTCTGTGAGTTGAACGCACACATCCCAGAGCAGTTTCTGAGAAAGATTCTGTCGAGGTTTTATAGGAAAATATTTCCTTTTCTGCTTTTGGCCTCAAAGCGCTTGAAATCTCCACTTGCAAATTCCACAAAAAGAGACTTTCAAATCTGCTCTGTCTAAAGGAAGGTTCAACTCTGTCAGTTGAATACACACAACACAAAGAAGTTACTAAGAATTCTTCCCTCTAGCATTATATGAAGAAATCCCGTTTCCAACGAAGGCATCTAAGAGGTCCAAATATCGACTTGCAGACTTTACAAACAGAGGGTTTCCAGAATGCTGTATGAAAAGAAAGGTTAAACTCTGTGAGTTAAACACACACATCACTACGCAGTGTCTGGGAACGAGTTTGTCTTGTTTTTATACGAAGATATTTCCTTTTCTACCATTGGCATCGAAGCGCTTGAAATCTCCACTTGCAAATTCCACAAAAAGAGTGTTTCAAATCTGCTCTGTCTAAAGGAAGGTTGAACTCTGTGAGTTGCATACACACAACACAAAGAAGTTACTGAGAAATCTTCTGTCTAGCATAATATGAAGAAATCCCGTTTCCAACGAAGGCCTGAAAGAGGTCTGAATATCCACTGGCAGGCTTCACAAACAGAGTGTTTCCTAACTGCTCTGTGAAAAGAAAGGTTAAACTCTGTGAGTTGAACGCACACATCACAAAGGAGTTTCTGAGAATCATTCTGTCTAGTTTTTATACGAAGATATTTCCTTTTCTACCATTGACCTCAAAGCGGCTGAAATCTCCACTTGCAAATTCCAGAAAAACAGTGTTTCAAATCTGCTCTGTGTAAAGGATCGTTCAACTCTGTGAGTTGAATACACACAACACAAGGAAGTTACTGAGAATTCATCTGTCTAGCATAATATGAAGAAATCCCGTTTCCAACGAAGGCCTCAAAGAGGTCTGAATATCCACTTGCAGACTTTACAGAGTGTTTCCTAACTGCTCTCTGAAAAGAAAGGTTAAACTCTGTGAGTTGAACGCACACATCACAAAACAGTTTCTGAGAATCATTCTGTCTAGTTTTTATACGAAGATATTTCCTTTTCTACCGTTGACCTCAAAGCGGCTGAATTCTCCACTTACAAATTCCACCAAAAGAGTGTCTCAAATCTGCTCTGTGTAAAGAATCGTTCAACTCTGTGAGTTGAATGCACACAACACAAGGAAGTTACTGGGAATTCCTCTGTCTATCCTTACATGAAAAAACCCGTTTCCAACGAAGGCCTCTAAGAGGCCAAGATATCCACTTGCAGACTTTACAAACAGAGTGTTTCCAAACTGCTGAATGAAAAGAAAAGTTGAACTCTGTGAGTTGAACGCACATATCACAGAGCAGTTTCTGAGAATGATTCTGTCGGGTTTTTATACGAAGATATTTCCTTTTCTGCCTTTGGCCTCAAAGCGCTTGAAGTCTCCACTTGCAAATTGCAGAAAAAGAGTGTTTCGAATCTGCTCTGTCTAAAGGAAGGTTCAACTCTGTCAGTTGAATACACACAACACAAGGAAGTTACTGAGATTTCTTCTGTCTAGCCTTACATGAAAAAAACCCGTTTCCAACGAAGGCCTCAAAGAGGTCAAAATATCCACGTGCAGACTTTCCAAACAGAGTGTTTCCAAACTGCTGAATGAAAAGAAAAGTTAAACTCTGTGAGTTGAACGCACACATCCCAGAGCAGTTTCTGAGAAAGATTCTGTCGAGTTTTTATAGGAAAATATTTCCTTTTCTGCTTTTGGCCTCAAAGCGCTTGAAATCTCCACTTGCAAATTCCACAAAAAGAGACTTTCAAATCTGCTCTGTCTAAAGGAAGGTTCAACTCTGTCAGTTGAATACACACAACACAAAGAAGTTACTAAGAATTCTTCCCTCTAGCATTATATGAAGAAATCCCGTTTCCAACGAAGGCATCTAAGAGGTCCAAATATCCACTTGCAGACTTTACAAACACAGGGTTTCCAGAATGCTGTATGAAAAGAAAGGTTAAACTCTGTGAGTTAAACACACACATCACTACGCAGTGTCTGGGAACGAGTTTGTCTTGTTTTTATACGAAGATATTTCCTTTTCTACCATTGGCATTGAAGCGCTTGAAATCTCCACTTGCAAATTCCACAAAAAGAGTGTTTCAAATCTGCTCTGTCTAAAGGAAGGTTGAACTCTGTGAGTTGCATACACACAACACAAAGAAGTTACTGAGAAATCTTCTGTCTAGCATAATATGAAGAAATCCCGTTTCCAACGAAGGCCTCAAAGAGGTCCGAATATCCACTGGCAGGCTTCACAAACAGAGTGTTTCCTAACTGCTCTGTGAAAAGAAAGGTTAAACTCTGTGAGTTGAACGCACACATCACAAAGGAGTTTCTGAGAATCATTCTGTCTAGTTTTTATACGAAGCATATTTCCTTTTCTACCATTGACCTCAAAGCGGCTGAAATCTCCACTTGCAAATTCCAGAAAAACAGTGTTTCAAATCTGCTCTGTGTAAAGGATCGTTCAACTCTGTGAGTTGAATACACACAACACAAGGAAAGTTACTGAGAATTCATCTGTCTAGCATAATATGAAGAAATCCCGTTTCCAACGAAGGCCTCAAAGAGGTCTGAATATCCGCTTGCAGACTTTACAAACAGAGTGTTTCCTAACTGCTCTCTGAAAAGAAAGGTTAAACTCTGTGAGTTGAACGCACACATCACAAAACAGTTTCTGAGAATCATTCTGTCTAGTTTTTATACGAAGATATTTCCTTTTCTACCGTTGACCTCAAAGCGGCTGAATTCTCCACTTACAAATTCCACCAAAAGAGTGTCTCAAATCTGCTCTGTGTAAAGAATCATTCAACTCTGTGAGTTGAATGCACACAACACAAGGAAGTTACTGGGAATTCCTCTGTCTATCCTTACATGAAAAAACCCGTTTCCAACGAAGGCCTCTAAGAGGCCAAGATATCCACTTGCAGACTTTACAAACAGAGTGTTTCCAAACTGCTGAATGAAAAGAAAAGTTAAACTCTGTGAGTTGAACGCACACATCACAGAGCAGTTTCTGAGAATGATTCTGTCGGGTTTTTATACGAAGATATTTCCTTTTCTGCCTTTGGCCTCAAAGCACTTGAAGTCTCCACTTGCAAATTGCAGAAAAAGAGTGTTTCGAATCTGCTCTGTCTAAAGGAAGGTTCAACTCTGTCAGTTGAATACACACAACACAAGGAAGTTACTGAGATTTCTTCTGTCTAGCCTTACATGAAAAAAACCCGTTTCCAACGAAGGCCTCAAAGAGGTCAAAATATCCACGTGCAGACTTTCCAAACAGAGTGTTTCCAAACTGCTGAATGAAAAGAAAGTTAAACTCTGTGAGTTGAACACACACATCACAGAGCAGTTTCTGAGAATGATTCTGTCTAGTTTTTATAGGAAAATATTTCCTTTTCTGCTTTTGGCCTCAAAGCGCTTGAAATCTCCACTTGCAAATTCCACAAAAAGAGACTTTCAAATCTGCTCTGTCTAAAGGAAGGTTCAACTCTGTCAGTTGAATACACACAACACAAATAAGTTACTAAGAATTCTTCCCTCTAGCATTATATGAAGAAATCCCGTTTCCAACGAAGGCATCTAAGAGGTCCAAATATCCACTTGCAGACTTTACAAACAGAGGGTTTCCAGAATGCTGTATGAAAAGAAAGGTTAAACTCTGTGAGTTAAACACACACATCACTACGCAGTGTCTGGGAACGAGTTTGTCTTGTTTTTATACGAAGATATTTCCTTTTCTACCATTGGCATCGAAGCGCTTGAAATCTCCACTTGCAAATTCCACAAAAAGAGTGTTTCAAATCTGCTCTGTCTAAAGGAAGGTTGAACTCTGTGAGTTGCATACACACAACACAAAGAAGTTACTGAGAAATCTTCTGTCTAGCATAATACGAAGAAATCCCGTTTCCAACGAAGGCCTCAAAGAGGTCCGAATATCCACTGGCAGGCTTCACAAACAGAGTGTTTCCTAACTGCTCTGTGAAAAGAAAGGTTAAACTCTGTGAGTTGAACGCACACATCACAAAGGAGTTTCTGAGAATCATTCTGTCTAGTTTTTATACGAAGATATTTCCTTTTCTACCATTGACCTCAAAGCGGCTGAAATCTCCACTTGCAAATTCCAGAAAAACAGTGTTTCAAATCTGCTCTGTGTAAAGGATCGTTCAACTCTGTGAGTTGAATACACACAACACAAGGAAGTTACTGAGAATTCATCTGTCTAGCATAATATGAAGAAATCCCGTTTCCAACGAAGGCCTCAAAGAGGTCTGAATATCCGCTTGCAGACTTTACAAACAGAGTGTTTCCTAACTGCTCTTTGAAAAGAAAGGTTAAACTCTGTGAGTTGAACGCACACATCACAAAACAGTTTCTGAGAATCATTCTGTCTAGTTTTTATACGAAGATATTTCCTTTTCTACCGTTGACCTCAAAGCGGCTGAATTCTCCACTTACAAATTCCACCAAAAGAGTGTCTCAAATCTGCTCTGTGTAAAGAATCGTTCAACTCTGTGAGTTGAATGCACACAACACAAGGAAGTTACTGGGAATTCCTCTGTCTAACCTTACATGAAAAAAACCGTTTCCAACGAAGGCATCTAAGAGGCCAAGATATCCACTTGCAGACTTTACAAACAGAGTGTTTCCAAACTGCTGAATGAAAAGAAAAGTTAAACTCTGTGAGTTGAACGCACACATCACAGAGCAGTTTCTGAGAATGATTCTGTCGGGTTTTTATACGAAGATATTTCCTTTTCTGCCTTTGGCCTCAAAGCGCTTGAAGTCTCCACTTGGAAATTGCAGAAAAAGAGTGTTTCGAATCTGCTCTGTCTAAAGGAAGGTTCAACTCTGTCAGTTGAATACACACAACACAAGGAAGTTACTGAGATTTCTTCTGTCTAGCCTTATATGAAAAAACCCGTTTCCAACGAAGGCCTCAAAGAGGTCAAAATATCCACGTGCAGACTTTCCAAACAGAGTGTTTCCAAACTGCTGAATGAAAAGAAAGTTAAACTCTGTGAGTTGAACACACACATCACAGAGCAGTTTCTGAGAATGATTCTGTCTAGTTTTTATAGGAAAATATTTCCTTTTCTGCTTTTGGCCTCAAAGCGCTTGAAATCTCCACTTGCAAATTCCACAAAAAGAGACTTTCAAATCTGCTCTGTCTAAAGGAAGGTTCAACTCTGTCAGTTGAATACACACAACACAAAGAAGTTACTAAGAATTCTTCCCTCTAGCATTATATGAAGAAATCCCGTTTCCAACGAAGGCATCTAAGAGGTCCAAATATCCACTTGCAGACTTTACAAACAGAGGGTTTCCAGAATGCTGTATGAAAAGAAAGGTTAAACTCTGTGAGTTAAACACACACATCACTACGCAGTGTCTGGGAACGAGTTTGTGTTGTTTTTATACGAAGATATTTCCTTTTCTACCATTGGCATCGAAGCGCTTGAAATCTCCACTTGCAAATTCCACAAAAAGAGTGTTTCAAATCTGCTCTGTCTAAAGGAAGGTTGAACTCTGTGAGTTGCATACACACAACACAAAGAAGTTACTGAGAAATCTTCTGTCTAGCATAATATGAAGAAATCCCGTTTCCAACGAAGGCCTCAAAGAGGTCCGAATATCCACTGGCAGGCTTCACAAACAGAGTGTTTCCTAACTGCTCTGTGAAAAGAAAGGTTAAACTCTGTGAGTTGAACGCACACATCACAAAGGAGTTTCTGAGAATCATTCTGTCTAGTTTTTATACGAAGATATTTCTTTTTCTACCATTGACCTCAAAGCGGCTGAAATCTCCACTTGCAAATTCCAGAAAAACAGTGTTTCAAATCTGCTCTGTGTAAAGGATCGTTCAACTCTGTGAGTTGAATACACACAACACAAGGAAGTTACTGAGAATTCATCTGTCTAGCATAATATGAAGAAATCCCGTTTCCAACGAAGGCCTCAAAGAGGTCTGAATATCCACTTGCAGACTTTACAAACAGAGTGTTTCCTAACTGCTCTTTGAAAAGAAAGGTTAAACTCTGTGAGTTGAACGCACACATCACAAAACAGTTTCTGAGAATCATTCTGTCTAGTTTTTATACGAAGATATTTCCTTTTCTACCGTTGACCTCAAAGCGGCTGAATTCTCCACTTACAAATTCCACCAAAAGAGTGTCTCAAATCTGCTCTGTGTAAAGAATCATTCAACTCTGTGAGTTGAATGCACACAACACAAGGAAGTTACTGGGAATTCCTCTGTCTAACCTTACATGAAAAAACCCGTTTCCAACGAAGGCCTCTAAGAGGCCAAGATATCCACTTGCAGACTTTACAAACAGAGTGTTTCCAAACTGCTGAATGAAAAGAAAAGTTAAACTCTGTGAGTTGAACGCACACATCACAGAGCAGTTTCTGAGAATGATTTCTGTCGGGTTTTTATACGAGATATTTCCTTTTCTGCCTTTGGCCTCAAAGCGCTTGAAGTCTCCACTTGCAAATTGCAGAAAAAGAGTGTTTCGAATCTGCTCTGTCTAAAGGAAGGTTCAACTCTGTCAGTTGAATACACACAACACAAGGAAGTTACTGAGATTTCTTCTGTCTAGCGTTACATTAAAAAAACCCGTTTCCAACGAAGGCCTCAAAGAGGTCAAAATATCCACGTGCAGACTTTCCAAACAGAGTGTTTCCAAACTGCTGAATGAAAAGAAAAGTTAAACTCTGTGAGTTGAACGCACACATCCCAGAGCAGTTTCTGAGAAAGATTCTGTCTAGTTTTTATAGGAAAATATTTCCTTTTCTGCTTTTGGCCTCAAAGCGCTTGAAATCTCCACTTGCAAATTCCACAAAAAGAGACTTTCAAATCTGCTCTGTCTAAAGGAAGGTTCAACTCTGTCAGTTGAATACACACAACACAAAGAAGTTACTAAGAATTCTTCCCTCTAGCATTATATGAAGAAATCCCGTTTCCAACGAAGGCATCTAAGAGGTCCAAATATCCACTTGCAGACTTTACAAACAGAGGGTTTCCAGAATGCTGTATGAAAAGAAAGGTGAAACTCTGTGAGTTAAACACACACATCACTACGCAGTGTCTGGGAACGAGTTTGTCTTGTTTTTATACGAAGATATTTCCTTTTCTACCATTGGCATCGAAGCGCTTGAAATCTCCACTTGCAAATTCCACAAAAAGAGTGTTTCAAATCTGCTCTGTCTAAAGGAAGGTTGAACTCTGTGAGTTGCATACACACAACACAAAGAAGTTACTGAGAAATCTTCTGTCTAGCATAATATGAAGAAATCCCGTTTCCAACGAAGGCCTCAAAGAGGTCCGAATATCCACTGGCAGGCTTCACAAACAGAGTGTTTCCTAACTGCTCTGTGAAAAGAAAGGTTAAACTCTGTGAGTTGAACGCACACATCACAAAGGAGTTTCTGAGAATCATTCTGTCTAGTTTTTATACGAAGATATTTCCTTTTCTACCATTGACCTCAAAGCGGCTGAAATCTCCACTTGCAAATTCCAGAAAAACAGTGTTTCAAATCTGCTCTGTGTAAAGGATCGTTCAACTCTGTGAGTTGAATACACACAACACAAGGAAGTTACTGAGAATTCATCTGTCTAGCATAATATGAAGAAATCCCGTTTCCAACGAAGGCCTCAAAGAGGTCTGAATATCCACTTGCAGACTTTACAAACAGAGTGTTTCCTAACTGCTCTTTGAAAAGAAAGGTTAAACTCTGTGAGTTGAAAGCACACATCACAAAACAGTTTCTGAGAATCATTCTGTCTAGTTTTTATACGAAGATATTTCCTTTTCTACCGTTGACCTCAAAGCGGCTGAATTCTCCACTTACAAATTCCACCAAAAGAGTGTCTCAAATCTGCTCTGTGTAAAGAATCATTCAACTCTGTGAGTTGAATGCACACAACACAAGGAAGTTACTGGGAATTCCTCTGTCTAACCTTACATGAAAAAACCCGTTTCCAACGAAGGCCTCTAAGAGGCCAAGATATCCACTTGCAGACTTTACAAACAGAGTGTTTCCAAACTGCTGAATGAAAAGAAAAGTTAAACTCTGTGAGTTGAACGCACACATCACAGAGCAGTTTCTGAGAATGATTCTGTCGGGTTTTTATACGAAGATATTTCCTTTTCTGCCTTTGGCCTCAAAGCGCTTGAAGTCTCCACTTGCAAATTGCAGAAAAAGAGTGTTTCGAATCTGCTCTGTCTAAAGGAAGGTTCAACTCTGTCAGTTGAATACACACAACACAAGGAAGTTACTGAGATTTCTTCTGTCTAGCCTTACATGAAAAAAACCCGTTTCCAACGAAGGCCTCAAAGAGGTCAAAATATCCACGTGCAGACTTTCCAAACAGAGTGTTTCCAAACTGCTGAATGAAAAGAAAAGTTAAACTCTGTGAGTTGAACGCACACATCCCAGAGCAGTTTCTGAGAAAGATTCTGTCTAGTTTTTATAGGAAAATATTTCCTTTTCTGCTTTTGGCCTCAAAGCGCTTGAAATCTCCACTTGCAAATTCCACAAAAAGAGACTTTCAAATCTGCTCTGTCTAAAGGAAGGTTCAACTCTGTCAGTTGAATACACACAACACAAAGAAGTTACTAAGAATTCTTCCCTCTAGCATTATATGAAGAAATCCCGTTTCCAACGAAGGCATCTAAGAGGTCCAAATATCCACTTGCAGACTTTACAAACAGAGGGTTTCCAGAATGCTGTATGAAAAGAAAGGTGAAACTCTGTGAGTTAAACACACACATCACTACGCAGTGTCTGGGAACGAGTTTGTCTTGTTTTTATGCGAAGATATTTCCTTTTCTACCATTGGCATCGAAGCGCTTGAAATCTCCACTTGCAAATTCCACAAAAAGGGTGTTTCAAATCTGCTCTGTCTAAAGGAAGGTTGAACTCTGTGAGTTGCATACACACAACACAAAGAAGTTACTGAGAAATCTTCTGTCTAGCATAATATGAAGAAATCCCGTTTCCAACGAAGGCCTCAAAGAGGTCCGAATATCCACTGGCAGGCTTCACAAACAGAGTGTTTCCTAACTGCTCTGTGAAAAGAAAGGTTAAACTCTGTGAGTTGAACGCACACATCACAAAGGAGTTTCTGAGAATCATTCTGTCTAGTTTTTATACGAAGATATTTCTTTTTCTACCATTGACCTCAAAGCGGCTGAAATCTCCACTTGCAAATTCCAGAAAAACAGTGTTTCAAATCTGCTCTGTGTAAAGGATCGTTCAACTCTGTGAGTTGAATACACACAACACAAGGAAGTTACTGAGAATTCATCTGTCTAGCATAATATGAAGAAATCCCGTTTCCATCGAAGGCCTCAAAGAGGTCTGAATATCCACTTGCAGACTTTACAAACAGAGTGTTTCCTAACTGCTCTTTGAAAAGAAAGGTTAAACTCTGTGAGTTGAACGCACACATCACAAAACAGTTTCTGAGAATCATTCTGTCTAGTTTTTATACGAAGATATTTCCTTTTCTACCGTTGACCTCAAAGCGGCTGAATTCTCCACTTACAAATTCCACCAAAAGAGTGTCTCAAATCTGCTCTGTGTAAAGAATCATTCAACTCTGTGAGTTGAATGCACACAACACAAGGAAGTTACTGGGAATTCCTCTGTCTAACCTTACATGAAAAAACCCGTTTCCAACGAAGGCCTCTAAGAGGCCAAGATATCCACTTGCAGACTTTACAAACAGAGTGTTTCCAAACTGCTGAATGAAAAGAAAAGTTAAACTCTGTGAGTTGAACGCACACATCACAGAGCAGTTTCTGAGAATGATTCTGTCGGGTTTTTATACGAAGATATTTCCTTTTCTGCCTTTGGCCTCAAAGCGCTTGAAGTTTCCACTTGCAAATTGCAGAAAAAGAGTGTTTCGAATCTGCTCTGTCTAAAGGAAGGTTCAACTCTGTCAGTTGAATACACACAACACAAGGAAGTTACTGAGATTTCTTCTGTCTAGCCTTACATGAAAAAAACCCGTTTCCAACGAAGGCCTCAAAGAGGTCAAAATATCCACGTGCAGACTTTCCAAACAGAGTGTTTCCAAACTGCTGAATGAAAAGAAAAGTTAAACTCTGTGAGTTGAACGCACACATCCCAGAGCAGTTTCTGAGAAAGATTTTGTCGAGTTTTTATAGGAAAATATTTCCTTTTCTGCTTTTGGCCTCAAAGCGCTTGAAATCTCCACTTGCAAATTCCACAGAAAGAGACTTTCAAATCTGCTCTGTCTAAAGGAAGGTTCAACTCTGTCAGTTGAATACACACAACACAAAGAAGTTACTAAGAATTCTTCCCTCTAGCATTATATGAAGAAATCCCGTTTCCAACGAAGGCATCTAAGAGGTCCAAATATCCACTTGCAGACTTTACAAACACAGGGTTTCCAGAATGCTGTATGAAAAGAAAGGTTAAACTCTGTGAGTTAAACACACACATCACTACGCAGTGTCTGGGAACGAGTTTGTCTTGTTTTTATACGAAGATATTTCCTTTTCTACCATTGGCATCGAAGCGCTTGAAATCTCCACTTGCAAATTCCACAAAAAGAGTGTTTCAAATATGCTCTCTCTAAAGGAAGGTTGAACTCTGTGAGTTGCATACACACAACACAAAGAAGTTACTGAGAAATCTTCTGTCTAGCATAATATGAAGAAATCCCGTTTCCAACGAAGGCCTCAAAGAGGTCCGATTATCCACTGGCAGGCTTCACAAACAGAGTGTTTCCTAACTGCTCTGTGAAAAGAAAGGTTAAACTCTGTGAGTTGAACGCACACATCACAAAGGAGTTTCTGAGAATCATTCTGTCTAGTTTTTATACGAAGATATTTCCTTTTCTACCATTGACCTCAAAGCGGCTGAAATCTCCACTTGCAAATTCCAGAAAAACAGTGTTTCAAATCTGCTCTGTGTAAAGGATCGTTCAACTCTGTGAGTTGAATACACACAACACAAGGAAGTTACTGAGAATTCATCTGTCTAGCATAATATGAAGAAATCCCGTTTCCAACGAAGGCCTCAAAGAGGTCTGAATATCCACTTGCAGACTTTACAAACAGAGTGTTTCCTAACTGCTCTTTGAAAAGAAAGGTTAAACTCTGTGAGTTGAACGCACACATCACAAAACAGTTTCTGAGAATCATTCTGTCTAGTTTTTATACGAAGATATTTCCTTTTCTACCGTTGACCTCAAAGCGGCTGAATTCTCCACTTACAAATTCCACCAAAAGAGTGTCTCAAATCTGCTCTGTGTAAAGAATCATTCAACTTCTGTGAGTTGAATGCACACAACACAAGGAAGTTACTGGGAATTCCTCTGTCTAACCTTACATGAAAAAACCCGTTTCCAACGAAGGCCTCTAAGAGGCCAAGATATCCACTTGCAGACTTTACAAACAGAGTGTTTCCAAACTGCTGAATGAAAAGAAAAGTTAAACTCTGTGAGTTGAACGCACACATCACAGAGCAGTTTCTGAGAATGATTCTGTCGGGTTTTTATACGAAGATATTTCCTTTTCTGCCTTTGGCCTCAAAGCGCTTGAAGTCTCCACTTGCAAATTGCAGAAAAAGAGTGTTTCGAATCTGCTCTGTCTAAAGGAAGGTTCAACTCTGTCAGTTGAATACACACAACACAAGGAAGTTACTGAGATTTCTTCTGTCTAGCCTTACATGAAAAAAACCCGTTTCCAACGAAGGCCTCAAAGAGGTCAAAATATCCACGTGCAGACTTTCCAAACAGAGTGTTTCCAAACTGCTGAATGAAAAGAAAAGTTAAACTCTGTGAGTTGAACGCACACATCCCAGAGAAGTTTCTGAGAATGATTCTGTCTAGTTTTTATAGGAAAATATTTCCTTTTCTGCTTTTGGCCTCAAAGCGCTTGAAATCTCCACTTGCAAATTCCACAAAAAGAGACTTTCAAATCTGCTCTGTCTAAAGGAAGGTTCAACTCTGTCAGTTGAATACACACAACACAAAGAAGTTACTAAGAATTCTTCCCTCTAGCATTATATGAGGAAATCCCGTTTCCAACGAAGGCATCTAAGAGGTCCAAATATCCACTTGCAGACTTTACAAACAGAGGGTTTCCAGAATGCTGTATGAAAAGAAAGGTTAAACTCTGTGAGTTAAACACACACATCACTACGCAGTGTCTGGGAACGAGTTTGTCTTGTTTTTATACGAAGATATTTCCTTTTCTACCATTGGCATCGAAGCGCTTGAAATCTCCACTTGCAAATTCCACAAAAAGAGTGTTTCAAATCTGCTCTGTCTAAAGGAAGGTTGAACTCTGTGAGTTGCATACACACAACACAAAGAAGTTACTGAGAAATCTTCTGTCTAGCATAATATGAAGAAATCCCGTTTCCAACGAAGGCCTCAAAGAGGTCTGAATATCCACTGGCAGGCTTCACAAACAGAGTGTTTCCTAACTGCTCTGTGAAAAGAAAGGTTAAACTCTGTGAGTTGAACGCACACATCACAAAGGAGTTTGCTGAGAATCATTCTGTCTAGTTTTTATACGAAGATATTTCCTTTTCTACCATTGACCTCAAAGCGGCTGAAATCTCCACTTGCAAATTCCAGAAAAACAGTGTTTCAAATCTGCTCTGTGTAAAGGATCGTTCAACTCTGTGAGTTGAATACACACAACACAAGGAAGTTACTGAGAATTCATCTGTCTAGCATAATATGAAGAAATCCCGTTTCCAACGAAGGCCTCAAAGAGGTCTGAATATCCACTTGCAGACTTTACAAACAGAGTGTTTCCTAACTGCTCTTTGAAAAGAAAGGTTAAACTCTGTGAGTTGAACGCACACATCACAAAACAGTTTCTGAGAATCATTCTGTCTAGTTTTTATACGAAGATATTTCCTTTTCTACCGTTGACCTCAAAGCGGCTGAATTCTCCACTTACAAATTCCACCAAAAGAGTGTCTCAAATCTGCTCTGTGTAAAGAATCATTCAACTCTGTGAGTTGAATGCACACAACACAAGGAAGTTACTGGGAATTCCTCTGTCTAACCTTACATGAAAAAACCCGTTTCCAACGAAGGCCTCTAAGAGGCCAAGATATCCACTTGCAGACTTTACAAACAGAGTGTTTCCAAACTGCTGAATGAAAAGAAAAGTTAAACTCTGTGAGTTGAACGCACACATCACAGAGCAGTTTCTGAGAATGATTCTGTCGGGTTTTTATACGAAGATATTTCCTTTTCTGCCTTTGGCCTCAAAGCGCTTGAAGTCTCCACTTGCAAATTGCAGAAAAAGAGTGTTTCGAATCTGCTCTGTCTAAAAGAAGGTTCAACTCTGTCAGTTGAATACACACAACACAAGGAAGTTACTGAGATTTCTTCTGTCTAGCCTTACATGAAAAAAACCCGTTTCCAACGAAGGCCTCAAAGAGGTCAAAATATCCACGTGCAGACTTTCCAAACAGAGTGTTTCCAAACTGCTGAATGAAAAGAAAAGTTAAACTCTGTGAGTTGAACACACACATCCCAGAGCAGTTTCTGAGAAAGATTCTGTCTAGTTTTTATAGGAAAATATTTCCTTTTCTGCTTTTGGCCTCAAAGCGCTTGAAATCTCCACTTGCAAATTCCACAAAAAGAGACTTTCAAATCTGCTCTGTCTAAAGGAAGGTTCAACTCTGTCAGTTGAATACACACAACACAAAGAAGTTACTAAGAATTCTTCCCTCTAGCATTATATGAAGAAATCCCGTTTCCAACGAAGGCATCTAAGAGGTCCAAATATCCACTTGCAGACTTTACAAACAGAGGGTTTCCAGAATGCTGTATGAAAAGAAAGGTGAAACTCTGTGAGTTAAACACACACATCACTACGCAGTGTCTGGGAACGAGTTTGTCTTGTTTTTATACGAAGATATTTCCTTTTCTACCATTGGCATCGAAGCGCTTGAAATCTCCACTTGCAAATTCCACAAAAAGAGTGTTTCAAATCTGCTCTGTCTAAAGGAAGGTTGAACTCTGTGAGTTGCATATACACAACACAAAGAAGTTACTGAGAAATCTTTTGTCTAGCATAATATGAAGAAATCCCGTTTCCAACGAAGGCCTCAAAGAGGTCCGAATATCCACTGGCAGGCTTCACAAACAGAGTGTTTCCTAACTGCTCTGTGAAAAGAAAGGTTAAACTCTGTGAGTTGAACGCACACATCACAAAGGAGTTTCTGAGAATCATTCTGTCTAGTTTTTATACGAAGATATTTCCTTTTCTACCATTGACCTCAAAGCGGCTGACATCTCCACTTGCAAATTCCAGAAAAACAGTGTTTCAAATCTGCTCTGTGTAAAGGATCGTTCAACTCTGTGAGTTGAATACACACAACACAAGGAAGTTACTGAGAATTCATCTGTCTAGCATAATATGAAGAAATCCCGTTTCCAACGAAGGCCTCAAAGAGGTCTGAATATCCACTTGCAGACTTTACAAACAGAGTGCTTCCTAACTGCTCTTTGAAAAGAAAGGTTAAACTCTGTGAGTTGAACGCACACATCACAAAACAGTTTCTGAGAATCATTCTGTCTAGTTTTTATACGAAGATATTTCCTTTTCTACCGTTGACCTCAAAGCGGCTGAATTCTCCACTTACAAATTCCACCAAAAGAGTGTCTCAAATCTGCTCTGTGTAAAGAATCATTCAACTTCTGTGAGTTGAATGCACACAACACAAGGAAGTTACTGGGAATTCCTCTGTCTAACCTTACATGAAAAAACCCGCTTCCAACGAAGGCCTCTAAGAGGCCAAGATATCCACTTGCAGACTTTACAGAGTGTTTCCAAACTGCTGAATGAAAAGAAAAGTTAAACTCTGTGAGTTGAACGCACACATCACAGAGCAGTTTCTGAGAATGATTCTGTCGGGTTTTTATACGAAGATATTTCCTTTTCTGCCTTTGGCCTCAAAGCGCTTGAAGTCTCCACTTGCAAATTGCAGAAAAAGAGTGTTTCGAATCTGCTCTGTCTAAAGGAAGGTTCAACTCTGTCAGTTGAATACACACAACACAAGGAAGTTACTGAGATTTCTTCTGTCTAGCCTTACATGAAAAAAACCCGTTTCCAACGAAGGCCTCAAAGAGGTCAAAATATCCACGTGCAGACTTTCCAAACAGAGTGTTTCCAAACTGCTGAATGAAAAGAAAAGTTAAACTCTGTGAGTTGAACGCACACATCCCAGAGCAGTTTCTGAGAAAGATTCTGTCGAGGTTTTATAGGAAAATATTTCCTTTTCTGCTTTTGGCCTCAAAGCGCTTGAAATCTCCACTTGCAAATTCCACAAAAAGAGACTTTCAAATCTGCTCTGTCTAAAGGAAGGTTCAACTCTGTCAGTTGAATACACACAACACAAAGAAGTTACTAAGAATTCTTCCCTCTAGCATTATATGAAGAAATCCCGTTTCCAACGAAGGCATCTAAGAGGTCCAAATATCCACTTGCAGACTTTACAAACAGAGGGTTTCCAGAATGCTGTATGAAAAGAAAGGTTAAACTCTGTGAGTTAAACACACACATCACTACGCAGTGTCTGGGAACGAGTTTGTCTTGTTTTTATACGAAGATATTTCCTTTTCTACCATTGGCATCGAAGCGCTTGAAATCTCCACTTGCAAATTCCACAAAAAGAGTGTTTCAAATCTGCTCTGTCTAAAGGAAGGTTGAACTCTGTGAGTTGCATACACACAACACAAAGAAGTTACTGAGAAATCTTCTGTCTAGCATAATATGAAGAAATCCCGTTTCCAACGAAGGCCTCAAAGAGGTCCGAATATCCACTGGCAGGCTTCACAAACAGAGTGTTTCCTAACTGCTCTGTGAAAAGAAAGGTTAAACTCTGTGAGTTGAACGCACACATCACAAAGGAGTTTCTGAGAATCATTCTGTCTAGTTTTTATACGAAGATATTTCCTTTTCTACCATTGACCTCAAAGCGGCTGAAATCTCCACTTGCAAATTCCAGAAAAACAGTGTTTCAAATCTGCTCTGTGTAAAGGATCGGTTCAACTCTGTGAGTTGAATACACACAACACAAGGAAGTTACTGAGAATTCATCTGTCTAGCATAATATGAAGAAATCCCGTTTCCAACGAAGGCCTCAAAGAGGTCTGAATATCCACTTGCAGACTTTACAGAGTGTTTCCTAACTGCTCTCTGAAAAGAAAGGTTAAACTCTGTGAGTTGAACGCACACATCACAAAACAGTTTCTGAGAATCATTCTGTCTAGTTTTTATACGAAGATATTTCCTTTTCTACCGTTGACCTCAAAGCGGCTGAATTCTCCACTTACAAATTCCACCAAAAGAGTGTCTCAAATCTGCTCTGTGTAAAGAATCGTTCAACTCTGTGAGTTGAATGCACACAACACAAGGAAGTTACTGGGAATTCCTCTGTCTATCCTTACATGAAAAAACCCGTTTCCAACGAAGGCCTCTAAGAGGCCAAGATATCCACTTGCAGACTTTACAAACAGAGTGTTTCCAAACTGCTGAATGAAAAGAAAAGTTAAACTCTGTGAGTTGAACGCACACATCACAGAGCAGTTTCTGAGAATGATTCTGTCGGGTTTTTATACGAAGATATTTCCTTTTCTGCCTTTGGCCTCAAAGCGCTTGAAGTCTCCACTTGCAAATTGCAGAAAAAGAGTGTTTCGAATCTGCTCTGTCTAAAGGAAGGTTCAACTCTGTCAGTTGAATACACACAACACAAGGAAGTTACTGAGATTTCTTCTGTCTAGCCTTACATGAAAAAAACCCGTTTCCAACGAAGGCCTCAAAGAGGTCAAAATATCCACGTGCAGACTTTCCAAACAGAGTGTTTCCAAACTGCTGAATGAAAAGAAAAGTTAAACTCTGTGAGTTGAACGCACACATCCCAGAGCAGTTTCTGAGAAAGATTCTGTCGAGTTTTTATAGGAAAATATTTCCTTTTCTGCTTTTGGCCTCAAAGCGCTTGAAATCTCCACTTGCAAATTCCACAAAAAGAGACTTTCAAATCTGCTCTGTCTAAAGGAAGGTTCAACTCTGTCAGTTGAATACACACAACACAAAGAAGTTACTAAGAATTCTTCCCTCTAGCATTATATGAAGAAATCCCGTTTGCAACGAAGGCATCTAAGAGGTCCAAATATCCACTTGCAGACTTTACAAACAGAGGGTTTCCAGAAGGCTGTATGAAAAGAAAGGTGAAACTCTGTGAGTTAAACACACACATCACTACGCAGTGTCTGGGAACGAGTTTGTCTTGTTTTTATACGAAGATATTTCCTTTTCTACCATTGGCATCGAAGCGCTTGAAATCTCCACTTGCAAATTCCACAAAAAGAGTGTTTCAAATCTGCTCTGTCTAAAGGAAGGTTGAACTCTGTGAGTTGCATACACACAACACAAAGAAGTTACTGAGAAATCTTCTGTCTAGCATAATATGAAGAAATCCCGTTTCCAACGAAGGCCTCAAAGAGGTCCGAATATCCACTGGCAGGCTTCACAAACAGAGTGTTTCCTAACTGCTCTGTGAAAAGAAAGGTTAAACCCTGTGAGTTGAACGCACACATCACAAAGGAGTTTCTGAGAATCATTCTGTCTAGTTTTTATACGAAGATATTTCCTTTTCTACCATTGACCTCAAAGCGGCTGAAATCTCCACTTGCAAATTCCAGAAAAACAATGTTTCAAATCTGCTCTGTGTAAAGGATCGTTCAACTCTGTGAGTTGAATACACACAACACAAGGAAGTTACTGAGAATTCATCTGTCTAGCATAATATGAAGAAATCCCGTTTCCAACGAAGGCCTCAAAGAGGTCTGAATATCCACTTGCAGACTTTACAAACAGAGTGTTTCCTAACTGCTCTTTGAAAAGAAAGGTTAAACTCTGTGAGTTGAACGCACACATCACAAAACAGTTTCTGAGAATCATTCTGTCTAGTTTTTATACGAAGATATTTCCTTTTCTACCGTTGACCTCAAAGCGGCTGAATTCTCCACTTTCAAATTCCACCAAAAGAGTGTCTCAAATCTGCTCTCTGTAAAGAATCATTCAACTCTGTGAGTTGAATGCACACAACACAAGGAAGTTACTGGGAATTCCTCTGTCTAACCTTACATGAAAAAACCCGTTTCCAACGAAGGCCTCTAAGAGGCCAAGATATCCACTTGCAGACTTTACAAACAGAGTGTTTCCAAACTGCTGAATGAAAAGAAAAGTTAAACTCTGTGAGTTGAACGCACACATCACAGAGCAGTTTCTGAGAATGATTCTGTCGGGTTTTTATACGAAGATATTTCCTTTTCTGCCTTTGGCCTCAAAGCGCTTGAAGTCTCCACTTGCAAATTGCAGAAAAAGAGTGTTTCGAATCTGCTCTGTCTAAAGGAAGGTTCAACTCTGTCAGTTGAATACACACAACACAAGGAAGTTACTGAGATTTCTTCTGTCTAGCCTTACATGAAAAAAACCCGTTTCCAACGAAGGCCTCAAAGAGGTCAAAATATCCACGTGCAGACTTTCCAAACAGTGTTTCCAAACTGCTGAATGAAAAGAAAAGTTAAACTCTGTGAGTTGAACGCACACATCACAGAGCAGTTTCTGAGAATGATTCTGTCGAGTTTTTATAGGAAAATATTTCCTTTTCTGCTTTTGGCCTCAAAGCGCTTGAAATCTCCACTTGCAAATTCCACAAAAAGAGACTTTCAAATCTGCTCTGTCTAAAGGAAGGTTCAACTCTGTCAGTTGAATACACACAACACAAAGAAGTTACTAAGAATTCTTCCCTCTAGCATTATATGAAGAAATCCCGTTTCCAACGAAGGCATCTAAGAGGTCCAAATATCCACTTGCAGACTTTACAAACAGAGGGTTTCCAGAATGCTGTATGAAAAGAAAGGTTAAACTCTGTGAGTTAAACACACACATCACTACGCAGTGTCTGGGAACGAGTTTGTCTTGTTTTTATACGAAGATATTTCCTTTTCTACCATTGGCATCGAAGCGCTTGAAATCTCCACTTGCAAATTCCACAAAAAGAGTGTTTCAAATCTGCTCTGTCTAAAGGAAGGTTGAACTCTGTGAGTTGCATACACACAACACAAAGAAGTTACTGAGAAATCTTCTGTCTAGCATAATATGAAGAAATCCCGTTTCCAACGAAGGCCTCAAAGAGGTCCGAATATCCCCTGGCAGGCTTCACAAACAGAGTGTTTCCTAACTGCTCTGTGAAAAGAAAGGTTAAACTCTGTGAGTTGAACGCACACATCACAAAGGAGTTTCTGAGAATCATTCTGTCTAGGTTTTATACGAAGATATTTCCTTTTCTACCATTGACCTCAAAGCGGCTGAAATCTCCACTTGCAAATTCCAGAAAAACAGTGTTTCAAATCTGCTCTGTGTAAAGGATCGTTCAACTCTGTGAGTTGAATACACACAACACAAGGAAGTTACTGAGAATTCATCTGTCTAGCATAATATGAAGAAATCCCGTTTCCAACGAAGGCCTCAAAGAGGTCTGAATATCCGCTTGCAGACTTTACAAACAGAGTGTTTCCTAACTGCTCTTTGAAAAGAAAGGTTAAACTCTGTGAGTTGAACGCACACATCACAAAACAGTTTCTGAGAATCATTCTGTCTAGTTTTTATACGAAGATATTTCCTTTTCTACCGTTGACCTCAAAGCGGCTGAATTCTCCACTTACAAATTCCACCCAAAGAGTGTCTCAAATCTGCTCTGTGTAAAGAATCATTCAACTCTGTGAGTTGAATGCACACAACACAAGGAAGTTACTGGGAATTCCTCTGTCTATCCTTACATGAAAAAACCCGTTTCCAACGAAGGCCTCTAAGAGGCCAAGATATCCACTTGCAGACTTTACAAACAGAGTGTTTCCAAACTGCTGAATGAAAAGAAAAGTTAAACTCTGTGAGTTGAACGCACACATCACAGAGCAGTTTCTGAGAATGATTCTGTCGGGTTTTTATACGAAGATATTTCCTTTTCTGCCTTTGGCCTCAATGCGCTAGAAGTCTCCACTTGCAAATTGCAGAAAAAGAGTGTTTCGAATCTGCTCTGTCTAAAGGAAGGTTCAACCCTGTCAACTGAATGCACACAACACAAGGAAGTTACTGAGATTTCTTCTGTCTAGCCTTACATGAAAAAAACCCGTTTCCAACGAAGGCCTCGAAGAGGTCAAAATATCCACGTGCAGACTTTCCAAACAGAGTGTTTCCAAACTGCTGAATGAAAAGAAAAGTTAAGCTCTGTGAGTTGAACGCACACATCACAGAGCAGTTTCTGAGAATGATTCTGTCGAGTTTTTATAGGAAAATATTTCCTTTTCTGCTTTTGGCCTCAAAGCGCTTGAAATCTCCACTTGCAAATTCCACAAAAAGAGACTTTCAAATCTGCTCTGTCTAAAGGAAGGTTCAACTCTGTCAGTTGAATACACACAACACAAAGAAGTTACTAAGAATTCTTCCCTCTAGCATTATATGAAGAAATCCCGTTTCCAACGAAGGCATCTAAGAGGTCCAAATATCCACTTGCAGACTTTACAAACAGAGGGTTTCCAGAATGCTGTATGAAAAGAAAGGTGAAACTCTGTGAGTTAAACACACACATCACTACGCAGTGTTCTGGGAACGAGTTTGTCTTGTTTTTATACGAAGATATTTCCTTTTCTACCATTGGCATCGATGCGCTTGAAATTTCCACTTGCAAATTCCACAAAAAGAGTGTTTCAAATCTGCTCTGTCTATAGGAAGGTTGAACTCTGTGAGTTGCATACACACAACACAAAGAAGTTACTGAGAAATCTTCTGTCTAGCAAAATATGAAGAAATCCCGTTTCCAACGAAGGCCTCAAAGAGGTCCGAATATCCACTGGCAGGCTTCACAAACAGAGTGTTTCCTAACTGCTCTGTGAAAAGAAAGGTTAAACTCTGTGAGTTGAACGCACACATCACAAAGGAGTTTCTGAGAATCATTCTGTCTAGTTTTTATACGAAGATATTTCCTTTTCTACCATTGACCTCAAAGCGGCTGAAATCTCCACTTGCAAATTCCAGAAAAACAGTGTTTCAAATCTGCTCTGTGTAAAGGATCGTTCAACTCTGTGAGTTGAATACACACAACACAAGGAAGTTACTGAGAATTCATCTGTCTAGCATAATATGAAGAAATCCCGTTTCCAACGAAGGCTTCAAAGAGGTCTGAATATCCACTTGCAGACTTTACAAACAGAGTGTTTCCTAACTGCTCTTTGAAAAGAAAGGTTAAACTCTGTGAGTTGAACGCACACATCACAAAACAGTTTCTGAGAATCATTCTTTCTAGTTTTTATACGAAGATATTTCCTTTTCTACCGTTGACCTCAAAGCGGCTGAATTCTCCACTTACAAATTCCACCAAAAGAGTGTCTCAAATCTGCTCTGTGTAAAGAATCATTCAACTCTGTGAGTTGAATGCATACAACACAAGGAAGTTACTGGGAATTCCTCTGTCTAACCTTACATGAAAAAACCCGTTTCCAACGAAGGCCTCTAAGAGGCCAAGATATCCACTTGCAGACTTTACAAACAGAGTGTTTCCAAACTGCTGAATGAAAAGAAAAGTTAAACTCTGTGAGTTGAACGCACACATCACAGAGCAGTTTCTGAGAATGATTCTGTCGGGTTTTTATACGAAGATATTTCCTTTTCTGCCTTTGGCCTCAAAGCGCTTGAAGTCTCCACTTGCAAATTGCAGAAAAAGAGTGTTTCGAATCTGCTCTGTCTAAAAGAAGGTTCAACTCTGTCAGTTGAATACACACAACACAAGGAAGTTACTGAGATTTCTTCTGTCTAGCCTTACATGAAAAAAACCCGTTTCCAACGAAGGCCTCAAAGAGGTCAAAATATCCACGTGCAGACTTTCCAAACAGAGTGTTTCCAAACTGCTGAATGAAAAGAAAAGTTAAACTCTGTGAGTTGAACGCACACATCCCAGAGCAGTTTCTGAGAAAGATTCTGTCTAGTTTTTATAGGAAAACATTTCCTTTTCTGCTTTTGGCCTCAAAGCGCTTGAAATCTCCACTTGCAAATTCCACAAAAAGAGACTTTCAAATCTGCTCTGTCTAAAGGAAGGTTCAACTCTGTCAGTTGAATACACACAACACAAAGAAGTTACTAAGAATTCTTCCCTCTAGCATTATATGAAGAAATCCCGTTTCCAACGAAGGCATCTAAGAGGTCCAAATATCCACTTGCAGACTTTACAAACAGAGGGTTTCCAGAATGCTGTATGAAAAGAAAGGTGAAACTCTGTGAGTTAAACACACACATCACTACGCAGTGTCTGGGAACGAGTTTGTCTTGTTTTTATACGAAGATATTTCCTTTTCTACCATTGGCATCGAAGCGCTTGAAATCTCCACTTGCAAATTCCACAAAAAGAGTGTTTCAAATCTGCTCTGTCTAAAGGAAGGTTGAACTCTGTGAGTTGCATACACACAACACAAAGAAGTTACTGAGAAATCTTCTGTCTAGCATAATATGAAGAAATCCCGTTTCCAACGAAGGCCTCAAAGAGGTCCGAATATCCACTGGCAGGCTTCACAAACAGAGTGTTTCCTAACTGCTCTGTGAAAAGAAAGGTTAAACTCTGTGAGTTGAACGCACACATCACAAAGGAGTTTCTGAGAATCATTCTGTCCAGTTTTTATACGAAGATATTTCCTTTTCTACCATTGACCTCAAAGCGGCTGAAATCTCCACTTGCAAATTCCAGAAAAACAGTGTTTCAAATCTGCTCTGTGTAAAGGATCGTTCAACTCTGTGAGTTGAATACACACAACACAAGGAAGTTACTGAGAATTCATCTGTCTAGCATATGATGAAATCCCGTTTCCAACGAAGGCTTCAAAGAGGTCTGAATATCCACTTGCAGACTTTACAAACAGAGTGTTTCCTAACTGCTCTTTGAAAAGAAAGGTTAAACTCTGTGAGTTGAACGCACACATCACAAAACAGTTTCTGAGAATCATTCTGTCTAGTTTCTATACGAAGATATTTCCTTTTCTACCGTTGACCTCAAAGCAGCTGAATTCTACACTTACAAATTCCACCAAAAGAGTGTCTCAAATCTGCTCTGTGTAAAGAATCATTCAACTCTGTGAGTTGAATGCACACAACACAAGGAAGTTACTGGGAATTCCTCTGTCTAACCTTACATGAAAAAACGCGTTTCCAACGAAGGCCTCTAAGAGGCCAAGATATCCACTTGCAGACTTTACAAACAGAGTGTTTCCAAACTGCTGAATGAAAAGAAAAGTTAAACTCTGTGAGTTGAACGCACACATCACAGAGCAGTTTCTGAGAATGATTCTGTCGGGTTTTTATACGAAGATATTTCCTTTTCTGCCTTTGGCCTCAAAGCGCTTGAAGTCTCCACTTGCAAATTGCAGAAAAAGAGCGTTTCGAATCTGCTCTGTCTAAAGGAAGGTTCAACTCTGTCAGTTGAATACACACAACACAAGGAAGTTACTGAGATTTCTTTTGTCTAGCCTTACATGAAAAAAACCCGTTTCCAACGAAGGCCTCAAAGAGGTCAAAATATCCACGTGCAGACTTTCCAAACAGAGTGTTTCCAAACTGCTGAATGAAAAGAAAGTTAAACTCTGTGAGTTGAACACACACATCACAGAGCAGTTTCTGAGAATGATTCTCTCTAGTTTTTATAGGAAAATATTTCCTTTTCTGCTTTTGGCCTCAAAGCGCTTGAAATCTCCACTTGCAAATTCCACAAAAAGAGACTTTCAAATCTGCTCTGTCTAAAGGAAGGTTCAACTCTGTCAGTTGAATACACACAACACAAAGAAGTTACTAAGAATTCTTCCCTCTAGCATTATATGAAGAAATCCCGTTTCCAACGAAGGCCTCAAAGAGGTCTGAATATCCACTTGCAGACTTTACAGAGTGTTTCCTAACTGCTCTTTGAAAAGAAAGGTTAAACTCTGTGAGTTGAACGCACACATCACAAAACAGTTTCTGAGAATCATTCTGTCTAGTTTTTATACGAAGGTATTTCCTTTTCTACCGTTGACCTCAAAGCGGCTGAATTCTCCACTTACAAATTCCACCCAAAGAGTGTCTCAAATCTGCTCTGTGTAAAGAATCATTCAACTCTGTGAGTTGAATGCACACAACACAAGGAAGTTACTGGGAATTCCTCTGTCTATCCTTACATGAAAAAACCCGCTTCCAACGAAGGCCTCTAAGAGGCCAAGATATCCACTTGCAGACTTTACAAACAGAGTGTTTCCAAACTGCTGAATGAAAAGAAAAGTTAAACTTCTGTGAGTTGAACGCACACATCACAGAGCAGTTTCTGAGAATGATTCTGTCTGTTTTTTATACGAAGATATTTCCTTTTCTGCCTTTGGCCTCAAAGCGCTTGCAGTCTCCACTTGCAAATTGCACAAAAAGAGTGTTTCGAATCTGCTCTGTCTAAAGGAAGGTTCAACCCTGGCAGTTGAATACACACAACACAAGGAAGTTACTGAGATTTCTTCTGTCTAGCATTACATGAAAAAAACCCGTTCCCAACGAAGGCCTCAAAGAGGTCAAAATATCCACTTGCAGACTTTACAAACAGAGTGTTTCCAAACTGCTGAATGAAAAGAAAAGTTAAACTCTGTGAGTTGAACGCACACATCACTGAGCAGTTTCTGAGAATGATTCTCTCTAGTTTTTATAGGAAAATATTTCCTTTTCTGCTTTTGGCCTCAAAGCGCTTGAAATCTGCACTTGCAAATTCCACAAAAAGAGACTTTCAAATCTGCTCTGTCTAAAGGAAGGTTCAACTCTGTCAGTTGAATACACACAACACAAATAAGTTACTAAGAATTCTTCCCTCTAGCATTATATGAAGAAATCCCGTTTCCAACGAAGGCATCTAAGAGGTCCAAATATCCACTTGCAGACTTTACAAACAGAGGGTTTCCAGAATGCTGTATGAAAAGAAAGGTTAAACTCTGTGAGTTAAACACACACATCACTACGCAGTGTCTGGGAACGAGTTTGTCTTGTTTTTATACGAAGATATTTCCTTTTCTACCATTGGCATCGAAGCGCTTGAAATCTCCACTTGCAAATTCCACAAAAAGAGTGTTTCAAATCTGCTCTGTCTAAAGGAAGGTTGAACTCTGTGAGTTGCATACACACAACACAAAGAAGTTACTGAGAAATCTTCTGTCTAGCATAATATGAAGAAATCCCGTTTCCAACGAAGGCCTCAAAGAGGTCCGAATATCCACTGGCAGGCTTCACAAACAGAGTGTTTCCTAACTGCTCTGTGAAAAGAAAGGTTAAACTCTGTGAGTTGAACGCACACATCACAAAGGAGTTTCTGAGAATCATTCTGTCTAGTTTTTATACGAAGATATTTCCTTTTCTACCGTTGACCTCAAAGCGGCTGAAATCTCCACTTGCAAATTCCAGAAAAACAGTGTTTCAAATCTGCTCTGTGTAAAGGATCGTTTAACTCTGTGAGTTGAATACACACAACACAAGGAAGTTACTGAGAATTCATCTGTCTAGCATAATATGAAGAAATCCCGTTTCCAACGAAGGCCTCAAAGAGGTCTGAATATCCACTTGCAGACTTTACAAACAGAGTGTTTCCTAACTGCTCTTTGAAAAGAAAGGTTAAACTCTGTGAGTTGAACGCACACATCACAAAACAGTTTCTGAGAATCATTCTGTCTAGTTTTTATACGAAGATATTTCCTTTTCTACCGTTGACCTCAAAGCGGCTGAATTCTCCACTTACAAATTCCACCAAAAGAGTGTCTCAAATCTGCTCTGTGTAAAGAATCATTCAACTCTGTGAGTTGAATGCACACAACACAAGGAAGTTACTGGGAATTCCTCTGTCTAACCTTACATGAAAAAACCCGTTTCCAACGAAGGCCTCTAAGAGGCCAAGATATCCACTTGCAGACTTTACAAACAGAGTGTTTCCAAACTGCTGAATGAAAAGAAAAGTTAAACTCTGTGAGTTGAACGCACACATCACAGAGCAGTTTCTGAGAATGATTCTGTCGGGTTTTTATACGAAGATATTTCCTTTTCTGCCTTTGGCCTCAAAGCGCTTGAAGTCTCCACTTGCAAATTGCAGAAAAAGAGTGTTTCGAATCTGCTCTGTCTAAAAGAAGGTTCAACTCTGTCAGTTGAATACACACAACACAAGGAAGTTACTGAGATTTCTTCTGTCTAGCCTTACATGAAAAAAACCTGTTTCCAACGAAGGCCTCAAAGAGGTCACAATATCCACGTGCAGACTTTCCAAACAGAGTGTTTCCAAACTGCTGAATGAAAAGAAAAGTTAAACTCTGTGAGTTGAACGCACACATCCCAGAGCAGTTTCTGAGAAAGATTCTGTCGAGTTTTTATAGGAAAATATTTCCTTTTCTGCTTTTGGCCTCAAAGCGCTTGAAATCTCCACTTGCAAATTCCACAAAAAGAGACTTTCAAATCTGCTCTGTCTAAAGGAAGGTGCAACTCTGTCAGTTGAATACACACAACACAAAGAAGTTACTAAGAATTCTTCCCTCTAGCATTATATGAAGAAATCCCGTTTGCAACGAAGGCATCTAAGAGGTCCAAATATCCACTTGCAGACTTTACAAACAGAGGGTTTCCAGAATGCTGTATGAAAAGAAAGGTTAAACTCTGTGAGTTAAACACACACATCACTACGCAGTGTCTGGGAACGAGTTTGTCTTGTTTTTATACGAAGATATTTCCTTTTCTACCATTGGCATCGAAGCGCTTGAAATCTCCACTTGCAAATTCCACAAAAAGAGTGTTTCAAATCTGCTCTGTCTAAAGGAAGGTTGAACTCTGTGAGTTGCATACACACAACACAAAGAAGTTACTGAGAAATCTTCTGTCTAGCATAATATGAAGAAATCCCGTTTCCAACGAAGGCCTCAAAGAGGTCCGAATATCCACTGGCAGGCTTCACAAACAGAGTGTTTCCTAACTGCTCTGTGAAAAGAAAGGTTAAACTCTGTGAGTTGAACGCACACATCACAAAGGAGTTTCTGAGAATCATTCTGTCTAGTTTTTATACGAAGATATTTCTTTTTCTACCATTGACCTCAAAGCGGCTGAAATCTCCACTTGCAAATTCCAGAAAAACAGTGTTTCAAATCTGCTCTGTGTAAAGGATCGTTCAACTCTGTGAGTTGAATACACACAACACAAGGAAGTTACTGAGAATTCATCTGTCTAGCATAATATGAAGAAATCCCGTTTCCAACGAAGGCCTCAAAGAGGTCTGAATATCCACTTGCAGACTTTACAAACAGAGTGTTTCCTAACTGCTCTTTGAAAAGAAAGGTTAAACTCTGTGAGTTGAACGCACACATCACAAAACAGTTTCTGAGAATCATTCTGTCTAGTTTTTATACGAAGATATTTCCTTTTCTACCGTTGACCTCAAAGCGGCTGAATTCTCCACTAACAAATTCCACCAAAAGAGTGTCTCAAATCTGCTCTGTGTAAAGAATCATTCAACTCTGTGAGTTGAATGCACACAACACAAGGAAGTTACTGGGAATTCCTCTGTCTAACCTTACATGAAAAAACCCGTTTCCAACGAAGGCCTCTAAGAGGCCAAGATATCCACTTGCAGACTTTACAAACAGAGTGTTTCCAAACTGCTGAATGAAAAGAAAAGTTAAACTCTGTGAGTTGAACGCACACATCACAGAGCAGTTTCTGAGAATGATTCTGTCGGGTTTTTATACGAAGATATTTCCTTTTCTGCCTTTGGCCTCAAAGCGCTTGAAGTCTCCACTTGCAAATTGCAGAAAAAGAGTGTTTCGAATCTGCTCTGTCTAAAAGAAGGTTCAACTCTGTCAGTTGAATACACACAACACAAGGAAGTTAATGAGATTTCTTCTGTCTAGCCTTACATGAAAAAAACCCGTTTCCAACGAAGGCCTCAAAGAGGTCAAAATATCCACGTGCAGACTTTCCAAACAGAGTGTTTCCAAACTGCTGAATGAAAAGAAAAGTTAAACTCTGTGAGTTGAACGCACACATCCCAGAGCAGTTTCTGAGAAAGATTCTGTCTAGTTTTTATAGGAAAATATTTCCTTTTCTGCTTTTGGCCTCAAAGCGCTTGAAATCTCCACTTGCAAATTCCACAAAAAGAGTGTTTCAAATCTGCTCTGTCTAAAGGAAGGTTGAACTCTGTGAGTTGCATACACACAACACAAAGAAGTTACTGAGAAATCTTCTGTCTAGCATAATATGAAGTAATCCCGTTTCCAACGAAGGCCTCAAAGAGGTCCGAATATCCACTGGCAGGCTTCACAAACAGAGTGTTTCCTAACTGCTCTGTGAAAAGAAAGGTTAAACTCTGTGAGTTGAACGCACACATCACAAAGGAGTTTCTGAGAATCATTCTGTCTAGTTTTTATACGAAGATATTTCCTTTTCTACCATTGACCTCAAAGCAGCTGAAATCTCCACTTGCAAATTCCAGAAAAACAGTGTTTCAAATCTGCTCTGTGTAAAGGATCGTTCAACTCTGTGAGTTGAATACACACAACACAAGGGAAGTTACTGAGAATTCATCCCTCTAGCATTATATGAAGAAATCCCGTTTCCAACCGAAGGCATCTAAGAGGTCCAAATATCCACTTGCAGACTTTACAAACACAGGGTTTCCAGAATGCTGTATGAAAAGAAAGGTTAAACTCTGTGAGTTAAACACACACATCACTACGCAGTGTCTGGGAACGAGTTTGTCTTGTTTTTATACGAAGATATTTCCTTTTCTACCATTGGCATCGAAGCGCTTGAAATCTCCACTTGCAAATTCCACAAAAAGAGTGTTTCAAATCTGCTCTGTCTAAAGGAAGGTTGAACTCTGTGAGTTGCATACACACAACACAAAGAAGTTACTGAGAAATCTTCTGTCTAGCATAATATGAAGAAATCCCGTTTCCAACGAAGGCCTCAAAGAGGTCCGAATATCCACTGGCAGGCTTCACAAACAGAGTGTTTCCTAACTGCTCTGTGAAAAGAAAGGTTAAACTCTGTGAGTTGAACGCACACATCACAAAGGAGTTTCTGAGAATCATTCTGTCTAGTTTTTATACGAAGATATTTCCTTTTCTACCATTGACCTCAAATCGGCTGAAATCTCCACTTGCAAATTCCAGAAAAACAGTGTTTCAAATCTGCTGTGTGTAAAGGATCGTTTAACTCTGTGAGTTGAATACACACAACACAAGGAAGTTACTGAGAATTCATCTGTCTAGCATAATATGAAGAAATCCCGTTTCCAACGAAGGCCTCAAAGAGGTCTGAATATCCACTTGCAGACTTTACAAACAGAGTGTTTCCTAACTGCTCTTTGAAAAGAAAGGTTAAACTCTGTGAGTTGAAAGCACACATCACAAAACAGTTTCTGAGAATCATTCTGTCTAGTTTTTATACGAAGATATTTCCTTTTCTACCGTTGACATCAAAGCGGCTGAATTCTCCACTTACAAATTCCACCAAAAGAGTGTCTCAAATCTGCTCTGTGTAAAGAATCATTCAACTCTGTGAGTTGAATGCACACAACACAAGGAAGTTAGTGGGAATTCCTCTGTCTAACCTTACATGAAAAAACCCGCTTCCAACGAAGGCCTCTAAGAGGCCAAGATATCCACTTGCAGACTTTACAAACAGAGTGTTTCCAAACTGCTGAATGAAAAGAAAAGTTAAACTCTGTGAGTTGAACGCACACATCACAGAGCAGTTTCTGAGAATGATTCTGTCGGGTTTTTATACGAAGATATTTCCTTTTCTGCCTTTGGCCTCAAAGCGCTTGAAGTCTCCACTTGCAAATTGCAGAAAAAGAGTGTTTCGAATCTGCTCTGTCTAAAGGAAGGTTCAACTCTGTCAGTTGAATACACACAACACAAGGAAGTTACTGAGATTTCTTCTGTCTAGCCTTACATGAAAAAAACCCGTTTCCAACGAAGGCCTCAAAGAGGTCAAAATATCCACGTGCAGACTTTCCAAACAGAGTGTTTCCAAACTGCTGAATGAAAAGAAAAGTTAAACTCTGTGAGTTGAACGCACACATCCCAGAGCAGTTTCTGAGAAAGATTCTGTCTAGTTTTTATAGGAAAATATTTCCTTTTCTGCTTTTGGCCTCAAAGCGCTTGAAATCTCCACTTGCAAATTCCACAAAAAGAGACTTTCAAATCTGCTCTGTCTAAAGGAAGGTTCAACTCTGTCAGTTGAATACACACAACACAAAGAAGTTACTAAGAATTCTTCCCTCTAGCATTATATGAAGAAATCCCGTTTCCAACGAAGGCATCTAAGAGGTCCAAATATCCACTTGCAGACTTTACAAACAGAGGGTTTCCAGAATGCTGTATGAAAAGAAAGGTGAAACTCTGTGAGTTAAACACACACATCACTACGCAGTGTCTGGGAACGAGTTTGTCTTGTTTTTATACGAAGATATTTCCTTTTCTACCATTGGCATCGAAGCGCTTGAAATCTCCACTTGCAAATTCCACAAAAAGAGTGTTTCAAATCTGCTCTGTCTAAAGGAAGGTTGAACTCTGTGAGTTGCATACACACAACACAAAGAAGTTACTGAGAAATCTTCTGTCTAGCATAATATGAAGAAATCCCGTTTCCAACGAAGGCCTCAAAGAGGTCCGAATATCCACTGGCAGGCTTCACAAACAGAGTGTTTCCTAACTGCTCTGTGAAAAGAAAGGTTAAACTCTGTGAGTTGAACGCACACATCACAAAGGAGTTTCTGAGAATCATTCTGTCTAGTTTTTATACGAAGATATTTCCTTTTCTACCATTGACCTCAAAGCGGCTGAAATCTCCACTTGCAAATTCCAGAAAAACAGTGTTTCAAATCTGCTCTGTGTAAAGGATCGTTCAACTCTGTGAGTTGAATACACACAACACAAGGAAGTTACTGAGAATTCATCTGTCTAGCATAATATGAAGAAATCCCGTTTCCAACGAAGGCCTCAAAGAGGTCTGAATATCCACTTGCAGACTTTACAAACAGAGTGTTTCCTAACTGCTCTTTGAAAAGAAAGGTTAAACTCTGTGAGTTGAACGCACACATCACAAAACAGTTTCTGAGAATCATTCTGTCTAGTTTTTATACGAAGATATTTCCTTTTCTACCGTTGACCTCAAAGCGGCTGAATTCTCCACTAACAAATTCCACCAAAAGAGTGTCTCAAATCTGCTCTGTGTAAAGAATCATTCAACTCTGTGAGTTGAATGCACACAACACAAGGGAAGTTACTGGGAATTCCTCTGTCTAACCTTACATGAAAAAACCCGTTTCCAACGAAGGCCTCTAAGAGGCCAAGATATCCACGTGCAGACTTTCCAAACAGAGTGTTTCCAAACTGCTGAATGAAAAGAAAAGTTAAACTCTGTGAGTTGAACGCACACATCACAGAGCAGTTTCTGAGAATGATTCTGTCGGGTTTTTATACGAAGATATTTCCTTTTCTGCCTTTGGCCTCAAAGCGCTTGAAGTCTCCACTTGCAAATTGCAGAAAAAGAGTGTTTCGAATCTGCTCTGTCTAAAGGAAGGTTCAACTCTGTCAGTTGAATACACACAACACAAGGGAATTTACTGAGATTTCTTCTGTCTAGCGTTACATGAAAAAAACCCGTTTCCAACGAAGGCCTCAAAGAGGTCAAAATATCCACGTGCAGACTTTCCAAACAGAGTGTTTCCAAACTGCTGAATGAAAAGAAAAGTTAAACTCTGTGAGTTGAACGCACACATCCCAGAGCAGTTTCTGAGAAAGATTCTGTCTAGTTTTTATAGGAAAATATTTCCTTTTCTGCTTTTGGCCTCAAAGCGCTTGAAATCTCCACTTGCAAATTCCACAAAAAGAGACTTTCAAATCTGCTCTGTCTAAAGGAAGGTTCAACTCTGTCAGTTGAATACACACAACACAAAGAAGTTACTAAGAATTCTTCCCTCTAGCATTATATGAAGAAATCCCGTTTCCAACGAAGGCATCTAAGAGGTCCAAATATCCACTTGCAGACTTTACAAACACAGGGTTTCCAGAATGCTGTATGAAAAGTAAGGTTAAACTCTGTGAGTTAAACACACACATCACTACGCAGTGTCTGGGAACGAGTTTGTCTTGTTTTTATACGAAGATATTTCCTTTTCTACCATTGGCATCGAAGCGCTTGAAATCTCCACTTGCAAATTCCACAAAAAGAGTGTTTCAAATCTGCTCTGTCTAAAGGAAGGTTGAACTCTGTGAGTTGCATACACACAACACAAAGAAGTTACTGAGAAATCTTCTGAATAGCATAATATGAAGAAATCCCGTTTCCAACGAAGGCCTCAAAGAGGTCCGAATATCCACTGGCAGGCTTCACAAACAGAGTGTTTCCTAACTGCTCTGTGAAAAGAAAGGTTAAACTCTGTGAGTTGAACGCACACATCACAAAGGAGTTTCTGAGAATCATTCTGTCTAGTTTTTATACGAAGATATTTCCTTTTCTACCATTGACCTCAAAGCGGCTGAAATCTCCACTTGCAAATTCCAGAAAAACAGTGTTTCAAATCTGCTCTGTGTAAAGGATCGTTCAACTCTGTGAGTTGAATACACACAACACAAGGAAGTTACTGAGAATTTCTCTGTCTAGCATAATATGAAGAAATCCCGTTTCCAACGAAGGCCTCAAAGAGGTCTCAATATCCACTTGCAGACTTTACAAACAGAGTGTTTCCTAACTGCTCTTTGAAAAGAAAGGTTAAACTCTGTGAGTTGAACGCACACATCAAAAAACAGTTTCTGAGAATCATTCTGTCTAGTTTTTATACGAAGACATTTCCTTTTCTACCGTTGACCTCAAAGCGGCTGAATTCTCCACTAACAAATTCCACCAAAAGAGTGTCTCAAATCTGCTCTGTGTAAAGAATCATTCAACTCTGTGAGTTGAATGCACACAACACAAGGAAGTTACTGGGAATTCCTCTGTCTAACCTTACATGAAAAAACCCGTTTCCAACGAAGGCCTCTAAGAGGCCAAGATATCCACTTGCAGACTTTACAAACAGAGTGTTTCCAAACTGCTGAATGAAAAGAAAAGTTAAACTCTGTGAGTTGAACGCACACATCACAGAGCAGTTTCTGAGAATGATTCTGTCGGGTTTTTATACGAAGATATTTCCTTTTCTGCCTTTGGCCTCAAAGCGCTTGAAGTCTCCACTTGCAAATTGCAGAAAAAGAGTGTTTCGAATCTGCTCTGTCTAAAGGAAGGTTCAACTCTGTCAGTTGAATACACACAACACAAGGAAGTTACTGAGATTTCTTCTGTCTAGCCTTACATGAAAAAAACCCGTTTCCAAAGAAGGCCTCTAAGAGGCCAATATATCCACTTGCAGACTTTACAAACAGAGTGTTTCCAAACTGCTGAATGAAAAGAAAAGTTAAACTCTGTGAGTTGAACGCACACATCACAGAGCAGTTTCTGAGAATGATTCTGTCGAGTTTTTATAGGAAAATATTTCCTTTTCTGCTTTTGGCCTCAAAGCGCTTGAAATCTCCACTTGCAAATTCCACAAAAAGAGACTTTCAAATCTGCTCTGTCTAAAGGAAGGTTCAACTCTGTCAGTTGAATACACACAACACAAAGAAGTTACTAAGAATTCTTCCCTCTAGCAGTATGTGGAGAAATCCCGTTTCCAACGAAGGCATCTAAGAGGTCCAAATATCCACTTGCAGACTTTACAAACACAGGGTTTCCAGACTTCTGTATGAAAAGAAAGGTTAAACTCTGTGAGTTAAACACACACATCACTACGCAGTTTCTGGGAACGAGTTTGTCTTGTTTTTCTACGAAGATATTTCCTTTTCTACCATTGGCATCGAAGCGCTTGAAATCTCCACTTGCAAATTCAACAAAAAGAGTGTTTCAAATCTGCTATCTCTAAAGGAAGGTTGAACTCTGTGAGATGCATACACACAACACAAAGTAGTTACTGAGAAATCTGTCTAGCATAATATGAAGAACTCCCGTTTCCAACGAAGGCCTCAAAGAGGTCCGAATATCCACTGGCAGACTTAACAAACAGAGTGTTTCCCAACTGCTCTGTGAAAAGAAAGGTTAAACTCTGTGAGTTGAACGCACACATCACAAAGGGGTTTCTGAGAATCATTCTGTCTAGTTTTTATACGAAGATATTTCCTTTTCTACCATTGACCTCAAAGCGGCTGAAATCTCCACTTGCAGATTCCAGAAAAAGAGTGTTTCAAATCTGCTCTGTGTAAAGGATCGTTCAACTCTGTGAGTTGAATACACCCAACACAAGGAAATTACTGAGAATTCATCTGTCTAGCATAATATGAAGAAATCCCGTTTCCAACGAAGGCCTCAAAGAGTTCTGAATATCCAGTTGCAGACTTTACAAACAGAGTGTTTCCTAACTGCTCTTTGAAAAGAAAGGTTAAACTCTGTGAGTTGAACGCACACATCACAAAACAGTTTCTGAGAATCATTCTGTCTAGTTTTTATACGAAGATATTTCCTTTTCTACCATTGACCTCAAAGCGGCTGAATTCTCCACTTACAAATTCCACCAAAAGAGTGTCTCAAATCTGCTCTGTGTAAAGAATCATTCAACTCTGTGAGTTGAATGCACACAACACAAGGAAGTTACTGGGAATTCCTCTGTCTAACCTTACATGAAAAAAACCCGTTTCCCACGAAGGCCTCTAAGAGGCCAATATATCCCCTTGCAGACTTTACAAAGAGAGTGTTTCCAAACTGCTGAAAGAAAAGAAAAGTTAAACTCTGTGAGTTGAACGCACACATCACAGAGCAGTTTCTGAGAAAGATTCTGTCGGGTTTTTATACGAAGATATTTCCTTTTCTGCCTTTGGCCTCAATGCGCTAGAAGTCTCCACTTGCAAATTGCAGAAAAAGAGTGTTTCGAATCTGCTCTGTCTAAAGGAAGGTTCAACCCTGTCAACTGAATGCACACAACACAAGGAAGTTACTGAGATTTCTTCTGTCTAGCCTTACATGAAAAAAACCCGTTTCCAACGAAGGCCTCGAAGAGGTCAAAATATCCACGTGCAGACTTTCCAAACAGAGTGTTTCCAAACTGCTGAATGAAAAGAAAAGTTAAGCTCTGTGAGTTGAACGCACACATCACAGAGCAGTTTCTGAGAATGATTCTGTCTAGTTTTTATAGGAAAATATTTCCTTTTCTGCTTTTGGCCTCAAAGCGCTTGAAATCTCCACTTGCAAATTCCACAAAAAGAGACTTTCAAATCTGCTCTGTCTAAAGGAAGGTTCAACTCTGTCAGTTGAATACACACAACACAAAGAAGTTACTAAGAATTTTTCCCTCTAGCAATATATGAAGAAATCCCGTTTCCAACGAAGACATCTAAGAGGTCCAAATATCCACTTGCAGACTTTACAAACAGAGGGTTTCCAGAATGCTGTATGAAAAGAAAGGTGAAACTCTGTGAGTTAAACACACACATCACTACGCAGTGTCTGGGAACGAGTTTGTCTTGTTTTTATACGAAGATATTTCCTTTTCTACCATTGGCATCGAAGCGCTTGAAATCTCCACTTGCAAATTCCACAAAAAGAGTGTTTCAAATCTGCTCTGTCTAAAGGAAGGTTGAACTCTGTGAGTTGCATACACACAACACAAAGAAGTTACTGAGAAATCTTCTGTCTAGCATAATATGAAGAAATCCCGTTTCCAACGAAGGCCTCAAAGAGGTCCGAATATCCACTGGCAGGCTTCACAAACAGAGTGTTTCCTAACTGCTCTGTGAAAAGAAAGGTTAAACTCTGTGAGTTGAACGCACACATCACAAAGGAGTTTCTGAGAATCATTCTGTCTAGTTTTTATACGAAGATATTTCCTTTTCTACCATTGACCTCAAAGCGGCTGAAATCTCCACTTGCAAATTCCAGAAAAACAGTGTTTCAAATCTGCTCTGTGTAAAGGATCGTTCAACTCTGTGAGTTGAATACACACAACACAAGGAAGTTACTGAGAATTCATCTCTCTAGCATAATATGAAGAAATCCCGTTTCCAACGAAGGCCTCAAAGAGGTCTGAATATCCACTTGCAGACTTTACAAACAGAGTGTTTCCTAACTGCTCTTTGAAAAGAAAGGTTAAACTCTGTGAGTTGAAAGCACACATCACAAAACAGTTTCTGAGAATCATTCTGTCTAGTTTTTATACGAAGATATTTCCTTTTCTACCGCTGACCTCAAAGCGGCTGAATTCTCCACTAACAAATTCCACCAAAAGAGTGTCTCAAATCTGCTCTGTGTAAAGAATCATTCAACTCTGTGAGTTGAATGCACACAACACAAGGAAGTTACTGGGAATTCCTCTGTCTAACCTTACATGAAAAAACCCGTTTCCAACGAAGGCCTCTAAGAGGCCAAGATATCCACTTGCAGACTTTACAAACAGAGTGTTTCCAAACTGCTGAATGAAAAGAAAAGTTAAACTCTGTGAGTTGAACGCACACATCACAGAGCAGTTTCTGAGAATGATTCTGTCGGGTTTTTATACGAAGATATTTCCTTTTCTGCCTTTGGCCTCAAAGCGCTTGAAGTCTCCACTTGCAAATTGCAGAAAAAGAGTGTTTCGAATCTGCTCTGTCTAAAAGAAGGTTCAACTCTGTCAGTTGAATACACACAACACAAGGAAGTTACTGAGATTTCTTCTGTCTAGCGTTACATGAAAAAAACCCGTTTCCAACGAAGGCCTCAAAGAGGTCAAAATATCCACGTGCAGACTTTCCAAACAGAGTGTTTCCAAACTGCTGAATGAAAAGAAAAGTTAAACTCTGTGAGTTGAACGCACACATCCCAGAGCAGTTTCTGAGAAAGATTCTGTCTAGTTTTTATAGGAAAATATATCCTTTTCTGCTTTTGGCCTCAAAGCGCTTGAAATCTCCACTTGCAAATTCCACAAAAAGAGACTTTCAAATCTGCTCTGTCTAAAGGAAGGTTCAACTCTGTCAGTTGAATACACACAACACAAAGAAGTTACTAAGAATTCTTCCCTCTAGCATTATATGAAGAAATCCCGTTTCCAACGAAGGCATCTAAGAGGTCCAAATATCCACTTGCAGACTTTACAAACAGAGGGTTTCCAGAATGCTGTATGAAGAGAAAGGTGAAACTCTGTGAGTTAAACACACACATCACTACGCAGTGTCTGGGAACGAGTTTGTCTTGTTTTTATACGAAGATATTTCCTTTTCTACCATTGGCATCGAAGCGCTTGAAATCTCCACTTGCAAATTCCACAAAAAGAGTGTTTCAAATCTGCTCTGTCTAAAGGAAGGTTGAACTCTGTGAGTTGCATACACACAACACAAAGAAGTTACTGAGAAATCTTCTGTCTAGCATAATATGAAGAAATCCCGTTTCCAACGAAGGCCTCAAAGAGGTCCGAATATCCACTGGCAGGCTTCACAAACAGAGTGTTTCCTAACTGCTCTGTGAAAAGAAAGGTTAAACTCTGTGAGTTGAACGCACACATCACAAAGGAGTTTCTGAGAATCATTCTGTCTAGTTTTTATACGAAGATATTTCCTTTTCTACCATTGACCTCAAAGCGGCTGAAATCTCCACTTGCAAATTCCAGAAAAACAGTGTTTCAAATCTGCTCTGTGTAAAGGATCGTTTAACTCTGTGAGTTGAATACACACAACACAAGGAAGTTACTGAGAATTCATCTGTCTAGCATAATATGAAGAAATCCCGTTTCCAACGAAGGCCTCAAAGAGGTCTGAATATCCACTTGCAGACTTTACAAACAGAGTGTTTCCTAACTGCTCTTTGAAAAGAAAGGTTAAACTCTGTGAGTTGAAAGCACACATCACAAAACAGTTTCTGAGAATCATTCTGTCTAGTTTTTATACGAAGATATTTCCTTTTCTACTGTTGACCTCAAAGCAGCTGAATTCTCCACTTACAAATTCCACCAAAAGAGTGTCTCAAATCTGCTCTGTGTAAAGAATCATTCAACTCTGTGAGTTGAATGCACACAACACAAGGAAGTTAGTGGGAATTCCTCTGTCTAACCTTACATGAAAAAACCCGTTTCCAACGAAGGCCTCTAAGAGGCCAAGATATCCACTTGCAGACTTTACAAACAGAGTGTTTCCAAACTGCTGAATGAAAAGAAAAGTTAAACTCTGTGAGTTGAACGCACACATCACAGAGCAGTTTCTGAGAATGATTCTGTCGGGTTTTTATACGAAGATATTTCCTTTTCTGCCTTTGGCCTCAAAGCGCTTGAAGTCTCCACTTGCAAATTGCAGAAAAAGAGTGTTTCGAATCTGCTCTGTCTAAAGGAAGGTTCAACTCTGTCAGTTGAATACACACAACACAAGGAAGTTACTGAGATTTCTTCTGTCTAGCCTTACATGAAAAAAACCCGTTTCCAACGAAGGCCTCAAAGAGGTCAAAATATCCACGTGCAGACTTTCCAAACAGAGTGTTTCCAAACTGCTGAATGAAAAGAAAAGTTAAACTCTGTGAGTTGAACGCACACATCCCAGAGCAGTTTCTGAGAAAGATTCTGTCGAGTTTTTATAGGAAAATATTTCCTTTTCTGCTTTTGGCCTCAAAGCGCTTGAAATCTCCACTTGCAAATTCCACAAAAAGAGACTTTCAAATCTGCTCTGTCTAAAGGAAGGTTCAACTCTGTCAGTTGAATACACACAACACAAAGAAGTTACTAAGAATTCTTCCCTCTAGCATTATATGAAGAAATCCCGTTTCCAACCGAAGGCATCTAAGAGGTCCAAATATCCACTTGCAGACTTTACAAACACAGGGTTTCCAGAATGCTGTATGAAAAGAAAGGTTAAACTCTGTGAGTTAAACACACACATCACTACGCAGTGTCTGGGAACGAGTTTGTCTTGTTTTTATACGAAGATATTTCCTTTTCTACCATTGGCATCGAAGCGCTTGAAATCTCCACTTGCAAATTCCACAAAAAGAGTGTTTCAAATCTGCTCTGTCTAAAGGAAGGTTGAACTCTGTGAGTTGCATACACACAACACAAAGAAGTTACTGAGAAATCTTCTGTCTAGCATAATATGAAGAAATCCCGTTTCCAACGAAGGCCTCAAAGAGGTCCGAATATCCACTGGCAGGCTTCACAAACAGAGTGTTTCCTAACTGCTCTGTGAAAAGAAAGGTTAAACTCTGTGAGTTGAACGCACACATCACAAAGGAGTTTCTGAGAATCATTCTGTCTAGTTTTTATACGAAGATATTTCCTTTTCTACCATTGACCTCAAATCGGCTGAAATCTCCACTTGCAAATTCCAGAAAAACAGTGTTTCAAATCTGCTCTGTGTAAAGGATCGTTCAACTCTGTGAGTTGAATACACACAACACAAGGAAGTTACTGAGAATTCATCTGTCTAGCATAATATGAAGAAATCCCGTTTCCAACGAAGGCCTCAAAGAGGTCTGAATATCCACTTGCAGACTTTACAAACAGAGTGTTTCCTAACTGCTCTCTGAAAAGAAAGGTTAAACTCTGTGAGTTGAACGCACACATCACAAAACAGTTTCTGAGAATCATTCTGTCTAGTTTTTATACGAAGATATTTCCTTTTCTACCGTTGACCTCAAAGCGGCTGAATTCTCCACTTACAAATTCCACCAAAAGAGTGTCTCAAATCTGCTCTGTGTAAAGAATCATTCAACTCTGTGAGTTGAATGCACACAACACAAGGAAGTTACTGGGAATTCCTCTGTCTAACCTTACATGATAAAACCCGTTTCCAACGAAGGCCTGTAAGAGGCCAAGATATCCACTTGCAGACTTTACAAACAGAGTGTTTCCAAACTGCTGAATGAAAAGAAAAGTTAAACTCTGTGAGTTGAACGCACACATCACAGAGCAGTTTCTGAGAATGATTCTGTCGGGTTTTTATACGAAGATATTTCCTTTTCTGCCTTTGGCCTCAAAGCGCTTGAAGTCTCCACTTGCAAATTGCAGAAAAAGAGTGTTTCGAATCTGCTCTGTCTAAAGGAAGGTTCAACTCTGTCAGTTGAATACACACAACACAAGGAAGTTACTGAGATTTCTTCTGTCTAGCCTTACATGAAAAAAACCCGTTTCCAACGAAGGCCTCAAAGAGGTCAAAATATCCACGTGCAGACTTTCCAAACAGAGTGTTTCCAAACTGCTGAATGAAAAGAAAAGTTAAACTCTGTGAGTTGAACGCACACATCCCAGAGCAGTTTCTGAGAAAGATTCTGTCGAGGTTTTATAGGAAAATATTTCCTTTTCTGCTTTTGGCCTCAAAGCGCTTGAAATCTCCACTTGCAAATTCCACAAAAAGAGACTTTCAAATCTGCTCTGTCTAAAGGAAGGTTCAACTCTGTCAGTTGAATACACACAACACAAAGAAGTTACTAAGAATTCTTCCCTCTAGCATTATATGAAGAAATCCCGTTTCCAACGAAGGCATCTAAGAGGTCCAAATATCCACTTGCAGACTTTACAAACACAGGGTTTCCAGAATGCTGTATGAAAAGAAAGGTTAAACTCTGTGAGTTAAACACACACATCACTACGCAGTGTCTGGGAACGAGTTTGTCTTGTTTTTATACGAAGATATTTCCTTTTCTACCATTGGCATCGAAGCGCTTGAAATCTCCACTTGCAAATTCCACAAAAAGAGTGTTTCAAATCTGCTCTGTCTAAAGGAAGGTTGAACTCTGTGATTTGCATACACACAACACAAAGAAGTTACTGAGAAATCTTCTGTCTAGCATAATATGAAGAAATCCCGTTTCCAACGAAGGCCTGAAAGAGGTCCGAATATCCACTGGCAGGCTTCACAAACAGAGTGTTTCCTAACTGCTCTGTGAAAAGAAAGGTTAAACTCTGTGAGTTGAACGCACACATCACAAAGGAGTTTCTGAGAATCATTCTGTCTAGTTTTTATACGAAGATATTTCCTTTTCTACCATTGACCTCAAAGCGGCTGAAATCTCCACTTGCAAATTCCAGAAAAACAGTGTTTCAAATCTGCTCTGTGTAAAGGATCGTTCAACTCTGTGAGTTGAATACACACAACACAAGGAAGTTACTGAGAATTCATCTGTCTAGCATAATATGAAGAAATCCCGTTTCCAACGAAGGCCTCAAAGAGGTCTGAATATCCACTTGCAGACTTTACAAACAGAGTGTTTCCTAACTGCTCTCTGAAAAGAAAGGTTAAACTCTGTGAGTTGAACGCACACATCACAAAACAGTTTCTGAGAATCATTCTGTCTAGTTTTTATACGAAGATATTTCCTTTTCTACCGTTGACCTCAAAGCGGCTGAATTCTCCACTTACAAATTCCACCAAAAGAGTGTCTCAAATCTGCTCTGTGTAAAGAATCGTTCAACTCTGTGAGTTGAATGCACACAACACAAGGAAGTTACTGGGAATTCCTCTGTCTATCCTTACATGAAAAAACCCGTTTCCAACGAAGGCCTCTAAGAGGCCAAGATATCCACTTGCAGACTTTACAAACAGAGTGTTTCCAAACTGCTGAATGAAAAGAAAAGTTAAACTCTGTGAGTTGAACGCACACATCACAGAGCAGTTTCTGAGAATGATTCTGTCGGGTTTTTATACGAAGATATTTCCTTTTCTGCCTTTGGCCTCAAAGCGCTTGAAGTCTCCACTTGCAAATTGCAGAAAAAGAGTGTTTCGAATCTGCTCTGTCTAAAGGAAGGTTCAACTCTGTCAGTTGAATACACACAACACAAGGAAGTTACTGAGATTTCTTCTGTCTAGCCTTACATGAAAAAAACCCGTTTCCAACGAAGGCCTCAAAGAGGTCAAAATATCCACGTGCAGACTTTCCAAACAGTGTTTCCAAACTGCTGAATGAAAAGAAAAGTTAAACTCTGTGAGTTGAACGCACACATCACAGAGCAGTTTCTGAGAATGATTCTGTCTAGTTTTTATAGGAAAATATTTCCTTTTCTGCTTTTGGCCTCAAAGCGCTTGAAATCTCCACTTGCAAATTCCACAAAAAGAGACTTTCAAATCTGCTCTGTCTAAAGGAAGGTTCAACTCTGTCAGTTGAATACACACAACACAAAGAAGTTACTAAGAATTCTTCCCTCTAGCATTATATGAAGAAATCCCGTTTCCAACGAAGGCATCTAAGAGGTCCAAATATCCACTTGCAGACTTTACAAACAGAGGGTTTCCAGAATGCTGTATGAAAAGAAAGGTGAAACTCTGTGAGTTAAACACACACATCACTACGCAGTGTCTGGGAACGAGTTTGTCTTGTTTTTATACGAAGATATTTCCTTTTCTACCATTGGCATCGAAGCGCTTGAAATCTCCACTTGCAAATTCCACAAAAAGAGTGTTTCAAATCTGCTCTGTCTAAAGGAAGGTTGAACTCTGTGAGTTGCATACACACAACACAAAGAAGTTACTGAGAAATCTTCTGTCTAGCATAATATGAAGAAATCCCGTTTCCAACGAAGGCCTCAAAGAGGTCCGAATATCCACTGGCAGGCTTCACAAACAGAGTGTTTCCTAACTGCTCTGTGAAAAGAAAGGTTAAACTCTGTGAGTTGAACGCACACATCACAAAGGAGTTTCTGAGAATCATTCTGTCTAGTTTTTATACGAAGATATTTCCTTTTCTACCATTGACCTCAAAGCGGCTGAAATCTCCACTTGCAAATTCCAGAAAAACAGTGTTTCAAATCTGCTCTGTGTAAAGGATCGTTCAACTCTGTGAGTTGAATACACACAACACAAGGAAGTTACTGAGAATTCATCTGTCTAGCATAATATGAAGAAATCCCGTTTCCAACGAAGGCCTCAAAGAGGTCTGAATATCCACTTGCAGACTTTACAAACAGAGTGTTTCCTAACTGCTCTTTGAAAAGAAAGGTTAAACTCTGTGAGTTGAACGCACACATCACAAAACAGTTTCTGAGAATCATTCTGTCTAGTTTTTATACGAAGATATTTCCTTTTCTACCGTTGACCTCAAAGCGGCTGAATTCTCCACTTACAAATTCCACCAAAAGAGTGTCTCAAATCTGCTCTGTGTAAAGAATCATTCAACTCTGTGAGTTGAATGCACACAACACAAGGAAGTTACTGGGAATTCCTCTGTCTAACCTTACATGAAAAAACCCGTTTCCAACGAAGGCCTCTAAGAGGCCAAGATATCCACTTGCAGACTTTACAAACAGAGTGTTTCCAAACTGCTGAATGAAAAGAAAAGTTAAACTCTGTGAGTTGAACGCACACATCACAGAGCAGTTTCTGAGAATGATTCTGTCGGGTTTTTATACGAAGATATTTCCTTTTCTGCCTTTGGCCTCAAAGCGCTTGAAGTCTCCACTTGCAAATTGCAGAAAAAGAGTGTTTCGAATCTGCTCTGTCTAAAAGAAGGTTCAACTCTGTCAGTTGAATACACACAACACAAGGAAGTTACTGAGATTTCTTCTGTCTAGCCTTACATGAAAAAAACCCGTTTCCAACGAAGGCCTCAAAGAGGTCAAAATATCCACGTGCAGACTTTCCAAACAGAGTGTTTCCAAACTGCTGAATGAAAAGAAAAGTTAAACTCTGTGAGTTGAACGCACACATCCCAGAGCAGTTTCTGAGAAAGATTCTGTCTAGTTTTTATAGGATAATATTTCCTTTTCTGCTTTTGGCCTCAAAGCGCTTGAAATCTCCACTTGCAAATTCCACAAAAAGAGACTTTCAAATCTGCTCTGTCTAAAGGAAGGTTCAACTCTGTCAGTTGAATACACACAACACAAAGAAGTTACTAAGAATTCTTCCCTCTAGCATTATATGAGGAAATCCCGTTTCCAACGAAGGCATCTAAGAGGTCCAAATATCCACTTGCAGACTTTACAAACAGAGGGTTTCCAGAATGCTGTATGAAAAGAAAGGTGAAACTCTGTGAGTTAAACACACACATCACTACGCAGTGTCTGGGAACGAGTTTGTCTTGTTTTTATACGAAGATATTTCCTTTTCTACCATTGGCATCGAAGCGCTTGAAATCTCCACTTGCAAATTCCACAAAAAGAGTGTTTCAAATCTGCTCTGTCTAAAGGAAGGTTGAACTCTGTGAGTTGCATACACACAACACAAAGAAGTTACTGAGAAATCTTCTGTCTAGCAAAATATGAAGAAATCCCGTTTCCAACGAAGGCCTCAAAGAGGTCCGAATATCCACTGGCAGGCTTCACAAACAGAGTGTTTCCTAACTGCTCTGTGAAAAGAAAGGTTAAACTCTGTGAGTTGAACGCACACATCACAAAGGAGTTTCTGAGAATCATTCTGTCCAGTTTTTATACGAAGATATTTCCTTTTCTACCATTGACCTCAAAGCGGCTGAAATCTCCACTTGCAAATTCCAGAAAAACAGTGTTTCAAATCTGCTCTGTGTAAAGGATCGTTCAACTCTGTGAGTTGAATACACACAACACAAGGAAGTTACTGAGAATTCATCTGTCTAGCATAATATGATGAAATCCCGTTTCCAACGAAGGCTTCAAAGAGGTCTGAATATCCACTTGCAGACTTTACAAACAGAGTGTTTCCTAACTGCTCTTTGAAAAGAAAGGTTAAACTCTGTGAGTTGAACGCACACATCACAAAACAGTTTCTGAGAATCATTCTTTCTAGTTTTTATACGAAGATATTTCCTTTTCTACCGTTGACCTCAAAGCGGCTGAATTCTCCACTTACAAATTCCACCAAAAGAGTGTCTCAAATCTGCTCTGTGTAAAGAATCATTCAACTCTGTGAGTTGAATGCACACAACACAAGGAAGTTACTGGGAATTCCTCTGTCTAACCTTACATGAAAAAACCCGTTTCCAACGAAGGCCTCTAAGAGGCCAAGATATCCACTTGCAGACTTTACAAACAGAGTGTTTCCAAACTGCTGAATGAAAAGAAAAGTTAAACTCTGTGAGTTGAACGCACACATCACAGAGCAGTTTCTGAGAATGATTCTGTCGGGTTTTTATACGAAGATATTTCCTTTTCTGCCTTTGGCCTCAAAGCGCTTGAAGTCTCCACTTGCAAATTGCAGAAAAAGAGTGTTTCGAATCTGCTCTGTCTAAAGGAAGGTTCAACTCTGTCAGTTGAATACACACAACACAAGGAAGTTACTGAGATTTCTTCTGTCTAGCCTTACATGAAAAAAACCCGTTTCCAACGAAGGCCTCAAAGAGGTCAAAATATCCACGTGCAGACTTTCCAAACAGAGTGTTTCCAAACTGCTGAATGAAAAGAAAAGTTAAACTCTGTGAGTTGAACGCACACATCCCAGAGCAGTTTCTGAGAAAGATTCTGTCGAGTTTTTATAGGAAAATATTTCCTTTTCTGCTTTCGGCCTCAAAGCGCTTGAAATCTCCACTTGCAAATTCCACAAAAAGAGACTTTCAAATCTGCTCTGTCTAAAGGAAGGTTCAACTCTGTCAGTTGAATACACACAACACAAAGAAGTTACTAAGAATTCTTCCCTCTAGCATTATATGAAGAAATCCCGTTTCCAACGAAGGCATCTAAGAGGTCCAAATATCCACTTGCAGACTTTACAAACACAGGGTTTCCAGAATGCTGTATGAAAAGAAAGGTGAAACTCTGTGAGTTAAACACACACATCACTACGCAGTGTCTGGGAACGAGTTTGTCTTGTTTTTATACGAAGATATTTCCTTTTCTACCATTGGCATCGAAGCGCTTGAAATCTCCACTTGCAAATTCCACAAAAAGAGTGTTTCAAATCTGCTCTGTCTAAAGGAAGGTTGAACTCTGTGAGTTGCATACACACAACACAAAGAAGTTACTGAGAAATCTTCTGTCTAGCATAATATGAAGAAATCCCGTTTCCAACGAAGGCCTCAAAGAGGTCCGAATATCCACTGGCAGGCTTCACAAACAGAGTGTTTCCTAACTGCTCTGTGAAAAGAAAGGTTAAACTCTGTGAGTTGAACGCACACATCACAAAGGAGTTTCTGAGAATCATTCTGTCTAGTTTTTATACGAAGATATTTCCTTTTCTACCATTGACCTCAAAGCGGCTGAAATCTCCACTTGCAAATTCCAGAAAAACAGTGTTTCAAATCTGCTCTGTGTAAAGGATCGTTCAACTCTGTGAGTTGAATACACACAACACAAGGAAGTTACTGAGAATTCATCTGTCTAGCATAATATGAAGAAATCCCGTTTCCAACGAAGGCCTCAAAGAGGTCTGAATATCCACTTGCAGACTTTACAAACAGAGTGTTTCCTAACTGCTCTTTGAAAAGAAAGGTTAAACTCTGTGAGTTGAACGCACACATCACAAAACAGTTTCTGAGAATCATTCTGTCTAGTTTTTATACGAAGATATTTCCTTTTCTACCGTTGACCTCAAAGCGGCTGAATTCTCCACTTACAAATTCCACCAAAAGAGTGTCTCAAATCTGCTCTGTGTAAAGAATCATTCAACTCTGTGAGTTGAATGCACACAACACAAGGAAGTTACTGGGAATTCCTCTGTCTATCCTTACATGAAAAAACCCGCTTCCAACGAAGGCCTCTAAGAGGCCAAGATATCCACTTGCAGACTTTACAAACAGAGTGTTT